>NW_021160013.1:0-199591 GCF_000001405.40 Homo sapiens | reverse complement strand
GAGGTAGGCCCACTCCACCATCAGTAGTGCTGGGTTGCCCTGATCTGCACCTTCCAGATACTTGCTGAGATATCTGCATGCTTCTCTAAGGGACTGGGTCACGAGACACCCCTGGCAAGGACCAGCTGGCAGAACAGGCTGGACACTCTCCTTCAGCCTCCCCAGCAGCCCTACCTGTGCTGTCATCTGTGCTGATGATCTCCGTGGTAAGATTATGGGAAACTTTTACAGCAAGTTTTCCTTTCTCACTTCCCTATCTTAATAACAGCACTGATAACTTTTAAGCCCTAGAAAGCTGGAACTGCAAGACACATGATCTTCTGCCTTAGAAGGTCCATGTTTGGGCAGTGTGTGCCCAGGTGAGAGCCCCATGGTTGTTAGTGGAAGCCGGGAGCTGGATGGGCCTGGCCCCATAGCCTAGTGAAAAGTGGGACCCTCTCCTTCCAGAGCATGGAAGTCTCAGAGGCTGGAAAAAGGTGCCTGAGTGGCCTGCCAAAAAGCATAAGGCTAGAAGGGCTGGAAGGAACCCCAACAGTCTTCAAGGTGCCTGAGAGGGCTGGGCTCATTCCAGCTTTCTTTGCTTTCATCCTGATAGCAAGAAAACCTGCTCACACATGGCAGGCGGGCCTGAGGCTACCATTCCCTCATCAGGGGCTATAGGCACTTTAATGTGGCTCTTTCTTGAAGCAGCTGCTCAGGCCGGTTCTCGAAGAGAAGTTCCCTCATTATCCACAGGTTCTTGTTCCAGCCCCGTGTCTGCAGAGGGACTAGGGAGGGAGAAAATCTCTCAGCCTGTGCCCCACAACCTGCTCTGAGATATCTCTTTTGTTACTTCCTCACGGACAGCATCAAACTTCCAAATGAACAGACCAGCATGGAGCCTCCAGAAAAGTGCACAGAATTCTGTCTAGTACCCAGATGGAAGGGGGTTCCCAGTGAGGGCAGGGCCAGGCTGCATGCACCTCTTCAGGAATGTTCTCCTCATTGTCCAACTTCAAGGTGTGCATCCTCTGTGTGTATGCAGTCCATGGCAGGCTCTGCCTGGGGAACCGTCCAGCTGAACACCTGCAATGTGGTGGTGACCCTCTTGAATGAGTGGTTGTGGGCCCCATGGCAGTCATCAGAGAGGGAGATGCTTAGCCCACCAAGCCGAGAGCCCTGCCACAGCCTTCTGTGAGGCCTCCATCTGCTCTGGGTTCTTGCCCTGAAAGGCTGTCCTGAAGTCAAACAGAAGAAGGTGGGCCTCTCTTCCAGGGCTGCTCTTTATCCCACTGACAGCTCCCTAGAGGGCGACTAAGACAGCGGGGACAGATTCCTCAGGCAGAAGGACTGGAGTTTAGGCTGACGGGTTCATTCCATACCCCCACATGAGATGACACAAGGCAGGGGCTGTGGGACAAAGGCATTGCCTTTCCTTCTGGGATGAGGAATGGCATAGGAGACAGGGTATGGTGGGGCTGGGGTTGAGCGATGGGCTTCACTGAGTAAGTGTCCTGGTTATCTGTCCACAGACCCAGAACAAGTGGCATCCCAGGAGCCTGGGAGGGGCTGGCAGAGACTTACTGGTTCCAGCAAAAGCCCATGTGGATGCAGCAATGCTGCCTGCTGGTCCTTGGCTGTAATTACAAACAGGTACTTGAGGTCCCCATGCATCTTGCAGCTCTCAGAGAGTGTGTTCCAGCTGCTCATGGTAGGCACTTTTAGTCACTGAACGTGCTTCAGGAATGGCCAAGCTTGATTAAGCCAGGCGTCTTGCTGTGAGACCCTCCACCCAACTGAGGACCCTCTTCCTTGTTCCCCCTGGCAGTTTCACCTTCCAGTTCTGGTTCTAGAGACACGATGGCCCCTCTTGGGCCCCTGGGAGAATGTGCTCAGGTGACACACTGTCGACAGGGCCCATTTCCAAGCCATTCTTCCATTTCCCACTGTTTGAGGGGCTGAGGCCGGTGATCAGCACAGGGCCACCCAGGGCCAGCTGTCTGCACCTAAACATCATGCTGGTCTGGATGTCTCAGGGCCAGAACTCTCCAGGTGAGATGGCCTGGTCCTCAGCACCTGGCCTCCGTGCTCCTTTTTCCTCTGTTCAATCCTGGCCCCAATGCCTCCCGCAACTCTCAGGTCACCATTGGAGAAGATGCTCAGGAAGAACAAGAAGCTGCAGTCAACCCTGCTGAAGGTGGCATATGGGTCCAGGCTCTTGAGCTGGTCTTCGACATGGTACATGTGGATGCAGGCTTTGAGCAGTGTGAGTAGCTCTTTCCGGAAGGAGGGGAAAACGGTGTTTCCAGGGTCCTACACCCTAGAACGACCCATCTAGCACAGAAAACAGTTTGCAACGTGCTATCATGTGTGATTTTAATTTTCAACTTTAGGCTTTCATTTTCAATTTCCACAATAAACACATAAGGTGGGGTTCTGATTTCAACACACACACATTCTCTCTCTCTCCCTCTCTCTTAGAATCTTCCAGTGCGTTCACACTGAAAGCCAAAGTCCTCCCAGAATCTTGTGAGAACCTAAATGATCTGAATAGTTTGTCATTGATTTTGGGGATCTGGGAAAATCTCTGCACATTTCTGGAGACCGCTGTTATGCCAATTTTAATAAATCTGTTGTGCTTCAATTCAGAAGTGTGTGAAGGGAGTTGTGGAGGAATTGGCATTTGGGTTAGAAATTCCAGGAACACCAGAGACAGATGACACCTGTTTTCTGCTTCATAATGTCAAGTTTTACGATGGCTAAAACCTAATTCTACAAGAAAATTAGACTGAAAAACTTTATAGGCAAAAATTATCTTATTAAATAGGAAAATCTAAGTATTTTATTTTAAAATTTCCTTTTTCTTAGTAGGACCTAATCATAGAAATGTAAACTCTATATGCCAACAGCCTCTACTGTAGGATGGTTTATTGTATGTACTCATTTTACTGATTTCTTACAAAAACTTTTTCCGTAAGGGAAATTAGAATATTGTTCAACATATATTGAATTCACAATTATTACTTTATTTCTCACTTAGTATTTTATGATTCTGTCTTCTTTAATATGAAGATTACTATGACTGTGTTTTCACTTTCTGAATTATCATGTGTCACATTTGTCTGTAATTTCCTTTCAGAAGTTGTAAAATAGCATGCTCAAATGTATATATTATGTATAAATTATATAATTTATAATTTATTAAAATATTTGGCTTGTATGTTTAATTGACTCTAGGCACAATGTTACTATTAGCATCTTCTTCCAGTTTTCCCAACTTTTATTTGACTAATAGTACAATTTATTTCCAATTTTTATTTTATATGTCAATGTTTTATACTGTATTTACAATATTTATATTGTTACCATATTTAGAAATGTAAGACTTTTCAATTAAAAGCTAGATTACAGCCTTATCGTTTTGTGTAAGAAAAGCAGCAATGCATCAGTAGCATAATTTAAAACTTTCTCTAGTATTACTTAAATGCTTATTCCTTAAAACTTTCTCATCACAGCTCTTTGTATTAATTATAATGTGTTTTCTCTGAAATGTTGTTGCCCTAACTGTATCCAAATAATTCAAAATTCATACTTTTCATAGATTCACAGGAAGAGTTAAAAATTGTAGTTACCTGGGATTCTTTTTCATTTGGACACTATGTTTATTCAGGATTTTATGGATTAAAGTTTCTCTTAATTATGTTTTATAATTTTATGTTTCTGTATTTTTTAGAGTAGGCTGTCTCACATCAGTTAATTGTGTTTTTACTTTCTACCTATTTATTATGATTTTGAATTTCATTATTCAAATAAGAATTTGGGGGTTAATGTTTATTTTAACTTTGTTTTGCAATTTTACATTTCTGTGTTTCATGTTTTAGGGTAGGGCACCTTATATTAGTTTATTGTTTTAAGTTTTAATTTGTATAATATAATATTGTATAACAATATTCAACTCTGTATGCATTAAGACAGTGTGGGGCAGAAGTCAAATATGAACCATCCCTATGTCTTTTGTTAATACAATGATTTAACTGTTTGTTTGCCTGTATAAATATTGCCCCTATTTTGTTTATGACTTTTATATTTTCTTCTTATTTGATGGCCAATAATTTATTCTGTCTAAGTGAGTAATCATGGAAATTGTCTTAATTTCAACATCTATTGTTTATATTATCTTAGTGTGAAGGAAAGATTTATGTGATTTGAAGATAATTTTTCAGAAACTTTGTAACTCTGTCCCTTCGGGTGTCTTTTTTTTTTTTTTTTTTTTCTTTTGACAGACTCTCACCCTGTTGCCAAAGTGCAGTGGCACAATCTTGGATCACTGCAACCTCCACCTCCCAGGTTAAAGCAATTCTCCAGCTGCTGCCTCTTGAGTAGCTGGCATTAAAGTTGTGCACCACCGCGCCTGGCTAATTTTTGTATTTTTCATGAAGCTGGGGTTTCACCATGTTGGCCAGGCTGGTCTTGAACTTATGGCCTCAAGTAACCTGCATGCCTCAGCCTCCCAGAGTGCTGCGATTACAGGCATGAGTGATCACTCTTGGCCCTTGGGTGTCATTTTTAATTTCGATTGTGGTAAAAATACATAACATAAAATTTAGAATCTTTAATATTTTTTCTTATACAGTTCAGTCATGTTAAGTGTATTTACATTGTTAAGCAACATATTTGTAAAATTTTTTCTTTTGCAAAACTAAAACTCAGTACACATGAAATGACAACTACCCATTGTCCTTACCACCTGGCTCCTGATAAAAATCATTCTATTTTCTGGTTCTAAGTTTCAATACTTTAGATATTACATATAAGTAGAATCATAGAGTATCTGTTTTATTGTGACTAATTTTACTTAGCATTATGTTCTCAAGATTCCTCTTTATTGTGGATGGTACAAGATTTTCTGCCTTTAAAAGCTAAGTAATATTCCATTAGTTTTATATTACAAATTTTATTTATTTATTCATTCTATGAGGAAAATTTGTGTTGCTTTCACCTATTGGCATTTCTGAATAATGCTGCAATGAATATTGGTATGCAAATAGCTATTTGCTCATATGTGTGAGGTTTACATGTGTGCTACCTTCTGTTTTATTGGAAAAATTGTCTGTGTTTATGCCAGAAACAAACTGTTTTCATTGCTGTTGCTTTGTAATGTGCTTTGAAATCAGAAAAGGTGAGGTCACTAACATTGTTTTTTTTAAACATTTTGGGGCTCTTTATGGTCGCTTGAGATTCCATATAATTTGTTGGTTCCTTTTTCTATTTCAAAAAAAAAGTTCTTAATTTAAAAGGGATTGCATTGAATCTGTAACTCGCTTTAGACATCATAAGCATTATTCATAATATTAAGTCTTACAACCCTTAAACATGAGCATGCTCAAAAGTGAGTTGTTTAATTTCCATATATATGTTGCTATTTTTGTTTTCTTCTGTTATTCATTTCTAGTTTTATTCCATTTTGATCAGAAATAATAGCCATTGAAAGGCTAAACCACTCTGGGAAGTGACCCCCATTATAGAACATTACAAAGAGATGTGAGGGCACCACTTCTGCCCTGATGGGCTACTGGGATGAGTTCTCTTAGATGACACATTGCAGACAAATGTAGGAAACAATATAACCCCTTTTTCATGTAAACTCTTCCCTATTTTTGTAGAGTATTAGTGATAGTGGTGGCTTTCAAGTCTTGGAGAAAGTCTGGCAGTACCATGAACCTGCTTGCTACAGATGATATCAGAGGGGAATAATTAAAACTATACAAACTGTAGTAACATGAATAAATGCAGCCTAGTGTAAAGTAAAAACAACACAAAGGCCTTCTCTGATATTTCTACAAGAATGTAAAAAGGGACTTTACACTTAACCAAGTTGCCACTGGGACCAGTTAAGGCTAGATTTTTGGGGGGTAGATCTGAGGGTCACTCATGGAAATCCCCTAGGAGAAAGCGCAGAGAAATTCCATATTTGGGTCTGGATCCTGGACCCATCCTGGTTTTGTCAGGTCCCTCTCTGTAGAGAACCCCATGTGCCTGCTCTCAACATAACTCATTGTATGCCATGCTTGGGGGGTGTGGTGAACCTGCCAGTTGTCCAAGGAGATGGGGGACTTGAACCCATCAAATATCTGCTCACTGATTTTAATGCAGCTCTACAAAGAGTGTTCCCAGCAGCGAAAAAAGTTAATTGTCTTCTTTGTTTTTACCACCAGGTGACATCTGCATTAGAAATTCTGTTTCCTAGATCAGGAACATAGGAGTATCTGCATAGACCCCCAGCCAATGAGGAAACCCGAGGACAGCTTAAGGCCTTGGGATTCACATCTGAGTAGACGTACTTGGTCCGCAACTCACAACTTTTTATTCCACCAACCGTGACCTGGGTATGAACATGACAGACCCACCAGGGTTCCTGTGTCTTAAAACCTGCCCCTGTGAGGAAAAGCCCCCTCCTTTCCTGCTCCCCTTGCAACACAGGGTAATGGTAGGCAGGGTCGGGTTGCCCAGATTAGATGACACAGGTGGCCTGGCATGGACGGACCTGCCCTGGGCTAAACTGTGTTACCTGTGGGTGCCTCTTGTCGAATGGCCAGTGGTATCAAGGATGTAGGCTGAGCCAGTATGTATACTGTCAGAAAAGGCTCTCACTTTGAGCCTTTCTCAGGCAACAGCTTGGGAATATAACACAATGAGAACACAGTGCCCTCTCAAGCATCTCCCAAGAAGTTAGCTAGATACAGGGCTGTCTCTAGAATGTGGGTTTCTGGTTCCCAAAGTTCTAAATTCTGTTAGGTTTTGTCACAAGGGAAGTCTGTTAACTTCTTCAAGGTTTTATCCCCTGAGCCCTTTTCCTCCATAAATCTACGCAAAGTCCCTGCTGGGCTGCTGATTGCTCACCCTCCTCTCCCATGTCAACTCTTTACCTGTAAACAGTTATGCAAACACAATTATGTCCCTTAATTCCCAAAAAGTTCTAAATGCAGCCAGGGCCCCAGGTTTGAGAGAACAGAGTTGGGTTAAAATCTTCTTTTCCTTTTCATTTCTGTGACCATATGAAAATGACTGTGTGCTTCAGGTCTCCCCAGCCCTGAAGTATGCATAATGGGATTATGCTAACATCAACTTCCAAAAACAGTCTTTGGTGATATATGAGATAGAATGAATCAAAATCGGTTGGATGCAGTGGCTCTTGCTGTAATCTTAGCAGATTGGTAGACCAAGGCAGCTGGAACACTTAAGGCCAGGGGTTTGAAACCAGCCATGGCCAGCATGGCAAAAACCCTTCTCTACGAAAAATCCAAAAATTAGCCAGATGTGTTGATGCATGCCTGTAATCCCAGCCACTCAGGAGGCTGAGGTGTAAGAATCACTTGAGCCCAGGAAGCAGAGATTACATTGAGCCATGATCCTGCCACTGCACTCCAGCCTGGGTGACAGAGCGAGACTGTGTCTCAAAAAATATATATATATATAATGTATATAAATATTTTTATTTATATATTATATATAACTATATATATATCAATTATATATAACTATATATAATATATAAACTTATACATATATATCTTTATATATAAAAGATACATAGTTTATGTATCTTTATACATAAAAGATATATATTTTATATATATGGCCTTAATTTTCCATTCCACAGCAGAAGAGGTTGAAATTAAAAGAAAATCAGATACTGTCTTCTGGCATTAAATATTCCAGTGCTGTGCATTATATTTAGAATCATATGTATATGCCTCATCTCAGCCTATGTGGTGGGCACCCCCAACAAAGTCTCACAACAACACTAAGTTGTGAGTGACTCTGTTATTTTAAAACGCAGCTCACCTCTCAGTGCCTCAGAAGCAGGTACTATAACACCGGGTTTCTAACAGAGAGATGGGATTCCAGCTCAAGTCTGTTTCCCTGTGCTTACTTAAAGGTAGTAATATTCTCAGAAAGGTTTAGGAGGTAGGTTCTGGATTAGTACGGAATTGCTTAAAGGAAAAATGTATGGAAAATCACTGGGCATGAACAACTATTTTTTCTTGCTACACACAGATCACATGTGCAAATTTGGGGACAGTTAGTACAAAACATGTGATGGAAATTTGGGCTCTGACATCAGTGAGCTTATTTCACACAGACTCCAGTTGACCATATTGGTTCCGACCAATTTTAGCCACTTTTTAGAAGTCTCATAAGTGGAATAAATTTCATTCTTTCAACAAGTTGTATCTTTTCTTATCTGTCATTCTGCAAACTGAAGAATTTCTGTTAGTCATTGGATGAACTCTTTGGGGACCTGGTTCTAGTTTCTGTCAAAGGGAAAACAACAAATGTGATAGGTTATCACTTCTGACTTAGTTCAGACTTCTATACCAAAAAACATAGACTAGGCAACTTATAAATAAAAAACATTAGTTCTAGAGGCCAGAAATTTGAGATTGGGCTTCCAGCATGGTTGGGGTCTGGTAAGGACTCTCTTCTGAGTTTCAAACTCCAGACTTCAGGTTGTTTTCTCATTTAGCAGAGAGAGGGAGAGACAGCCTTCTGCGGTTTCTTTTACAAAGCCCGTAATCGCTATCATGAGGTCCTCATGCTTCGGACTTAATTACCTCTGACCTGCTAAGGCCATTACACTGGGGATTAAGGTTCTGGTATGTGAACATGGTGGGGAATCACATAGTCTTCTGCAACTTCCAAAGTTATATTTCTAAAACAGCTATTATTTTCCTCTTACTTGCTCTGTCCTGTGTGTCCTCTCTCAATCTCTCTGTCTCCCTTTCTCTCTTTTTCTCTGCATATGTCTGTCTATCTCTTTCATTTTTCATCTCTGTATTGTAATCCTCAAGATGAGGAAGTGATCTGCAGTGTCCTAAGATGCTCTAGGCACAGACCCACATGATAGAGAACTGAGGAGATGCCCAGGCCAATCGAGAGGAAGGAACTCGGGCTCTCAGTTCACACTGAATCGTGCCAGTTTCCATGAGGCAGATAGAAGGCTGATCTCTCCTCAAATCCAGCTTCAGTTGAAATCACAGCCCCAGCCTCGTAAGAGACCTTGAGGCAGAGGCACCCAACTAAGCTATATCGAGATTCTGGTTCACAAAAGTTGTGAGATAGTATTTGTTGTCAACATGTGCTAAAATTCAGGGAAATTTTGTCAGAGAGGGGCAAATGACTAATCTCCTCTTTCAGTCCCCAGGATCCTCCCTCCCCTCTTTTCCTTTCTTTCTCAGGCTGCCTGCCGCCACAATTGTCCCGTTATAACCTCCTCTGCTGAACTCACCTGTGCCTGTGAGTCTCTTCACAAAGAGTGGCTTTTCCCTGACACACTTTGCACACCTGCGCAGGACTGGCTCTCTGTTGTCATTCTGGTCACAACATAATGTCACCTCAGGGAGGCATTCATGTCCCCTCCAGGCAACCTCTCCCCAGCCCTCCCTCCCAACATTCTACTTTATTTCCATTATAAAATGCTCTTTTCTTTCACATGTACTTGCTTTAGTGTTTTTGTCCTGCCGTCCTCAGACTGTGGGCTCCCCGCGGGGAGGCAGGGATAACATAATCATTTTTGGTACCATAAGGTGAACCTACCAAGGTAGCTGCCACATGGTGAGTGCTAGGGGAAGAGTCGCTGAGTAAAATAACATGGAAAATCACAAAGCCCTTCTTCCCACTTTTGGCCACCCAATAATGTGGAGATCATGAATGATAACAGGAGCTGCAGGACCTCAGCCTGTCTCTCCCCCGGCTCCAGCTGCTCCAGTAAAGCCCAGCGGGCATAAGAAACACGGGGTCTGCCGCCACCTAGAGGCCTCCACTAGCCCTGAAGTCCCAGGTGGAAGCATCACAAAACAGGCACCTGCATTGGGGAATTCTCAAGGCAGTGGCTATTCAAGGACCCCTGGGAAAAGGAGCAGTATCTGAAGACTCCAAGGGCCATAAAAGTAACCTCGGAAACCTCCCTTGATTCCTATTTTCCTCAGCCTCTTTGAGTGTGCTGTGCACTCATTAAACACTTTAACAGCATTCAGAGACATTATTTTCTTCCACTTCTGAATGAGGACCTCAAGGACAGCCCAAAAATCTAGTATTTTTTCTGGGCCCCACACTCCAGAGCCCAGTGCATTGTCACATTCTGCTTTATTCCAAGTCCTCATCTGCCCACATCTCTAGGCCTCTCTCTTCTCTGAAGGACCTCTAGAACCTGAAAAGCCTCTTCCCAGAGTCTCAAAGCACAGTGAGTTACCAATGAAGAGCCAAGGGGAGCAGACACTTATGAGTATCTAGAATTCTTGGTATTATTCCTTTTGAGTACCCCTATTTATGAGAGAGAAAACGAAGGTTTTCTTTCCCGTAGCCTCACTTTATATCACATGGGGTGGTTGGGGGAGGGCATAGCTCATTTTAGTTCCAGGTGCCCATAGAGGTGGGAGTCACAACCCCTGTCCTGTCCTCTTGAAACAGCTGGGAAGATCCCCAGGCCTGGAAGAACCCAGGGAACCTGGAGGATCCTTCATCACATGCTGTCAGCTCCTGGTCATGTAGCTGGGGGAGTGGATGCCTCTGCCTCATGGCAAAGCTGCCTCTTCTATTTCTTCCCGTTTTGTCACTTCTCTGGTTTCCTCTTCTCTAACCTCACCTCCATGATCTCCACCTTAGAAGCCTGTGTGTGTGTGTGTGTGTGTGTGGTGTGTTTGTGTGTTCATGGCTGCACACCTATGTGAGAATAAGGAAGGGTAGAAAGCCCAGGTAGAAAGTAGACCACAGGGTTTTCCAGGACTTAAGAGCACTCATTTCCAAAGCAAACCTGATGGGTGGGGTGCATGCAAGGCCTTGGAAGCTGGATCCCTCCCTAATACTCTGTGCTCTTCCCAATTTCTGGGATATGGACCAGTCTTTGCCTTTTTTGGGGGCCTCAGTCTTCCTGTTGTAAAATGGATAGGTGGTCACAAAACTGCATAAACACATGCTCAGTGAAGACAGGGTGTCATGCTCAATACCAGATAGAATATTGGGATGGGGAGAGTTTGAGCAGACTTTTGTGTCCACGGTAGCTCAGGCCTCTGAACAGGGCAAATGCAGGTGAACATAAAGCACGGCACAGCCAGGTTTTCTTACCAGGGCTACGGGATGAAACAGTGCACCACAGGCTCTGTTCTGGAGGCTGGTCCCGCAAGATTTTCCCTCCTTCAACCAGCAACTGTTTGATGAATTTCATGTCCTGTGAAGCCCATATCCACCCCCATTACAGTGAGGGGCACAGGGCACTAGACCTGTAAAATAATGTCTTTTGCCTTTTTTTCTTTTCTTTTCTTTTTCTTTTTCTTTATCTTTTTCTTTTAACTGAGTGGCTGTTTCTTCTTTCTCTTTTTCTGTTTTGTTTGTTTTTTAACTAATTTTTAAGAGGTCTTTACAGGTCAGCTGTGGTGCCTCACATCTGTAATTTCAACACTTGAGAGGCTGAGGCGGGCGGATCATTTGAGGTCAGGAGTTAAAAACCAGCCTGGCCAACCTGGTGAAACCCCGTCTCTACTAAAATTACAAAAAATTAGCCGGGAATGGTGGCACAAGCCTGTAGCCCCAGCTACTCAGGAGGCTGAGACAGAAGAATTGCTGAAACTTGGGAGGCAGAGGTTGCAGTGAGCCGAGATTGCACGACTGCACTCAAGACATGGTGACAGAGTTAGTCTCTGTGGAAAAAAAAAAAGAGAGAGAGAGGGAGAGAGAGAGTGCCCTTTATGGAAATGCGAGCCCCTTTGTAATTTCATGAGTTGTAAATATTTATTCCAATTTGGGAATTTCTTTTCTTATTGTGGTGTTCTCTTTAAGTTTGTTTTGGATGTTATTAGTGTTTTGTTTTGCTTTGTTTCTATGTAACTTCTCCCTAAATTGATTCATAGATTTCCATTTTCACAATACAATATTTTGGCAGAAATCTTGTGGAAACTGTCTAATCAGTTTAAAAAATTTAAATACATATAAAAAATCGAAGAAATGTAAAAACTGTCCTGAAGAATAACAAAGTTTGTGAGCTTAAAATGACATATATTCAGACTTAGATTAAAGCTATAGTAATAAAAGCTATCTATGGTAGTAATGCAAAAATAGGCACAAAGAAAACTAGAAAAACTCGAGAGTCCAACTCAGACTCACACATTTGGACATTCTGTATATTACAAAAAAGGCACAGAAGAGGAGTGAAGACAGTCTTCTCGGTAAATAGCCTTGAGTCAACCAGTTATTTATGTGAGAAAAAACACTCCTATCTTATATTATTAACAAATTCCAATGAAAAGTGGATTTTAAATTTTAAGGTCAAAGCTGAAAACAATATTTCTAGTAGATAACATAGATAAATATGTCCATGACTGGCACAGGCCCAGATTTCTCGGGACACAAAATGCATTAATTCTCAAGAGAAAAATATGACAAATTGGACTTTATTAGAATTAAAACCTTCTCTTCATAAAAAAAAAGCTTCAGGAGAGCTGAAAGGCAAGAACAAAGTGGAAATCAACATTTGTCATATATTTATGTGGCAAAAGACTTTTATCTAGTTTATTTAACTAAATCCCATCAATTAATAAACAAAGATGCATACATTGAACAAAATTGGCAAACATGTGACTAGGAGTTCCACATACAGAACCGAAGGGCCAACAAGTAGATGAACACATCCACATCCTTATGCATCAGAGCAATGCATATGAAAACTACAATTGAATACCACTATGCAATCATTAACATTTTTGAAAACTGACAAAATTAAGTACTAGTGATGATGTCAAGCAACTGGAACTTTCTTATACCATTCTGTGTGCAAACTGTTATAACGGCATTCAAAACCTCTTGAGTAGTAACTCCTTACATACACGATGTACATAAGCACACTCTAGGACCCAGAAACTCTGCTACTAGGTATATACACCCAATAGAAATGCCAGCATATTTTCCAATGCAGAAAAATGCTCTAAGCAGCATTATTTGGTACTTTTCCAAACTGAAAAAAACTCAAATGTGCATCAATAATAAAATAACTAAATAAAACAGCTACATATTCCTTTATAAGGGGACATTATACAGATATAAAATTAATTGGAGACATATTAAAATATACAAAAATCTAACAAATACAATTTAATTAGATTTAAAAGTCCTATCCACAGCAATCAGCCAATAGAAAAGAAAAAGGCATACAAATAGAAAAAAAAATTGAATTCTCTTTCTCCATTTGCAATATGAGTCACTATGCAGACAATGCTAAAGTCTTTCCAAAACTCCTTTTGGAGAAAACTTGAAAAGCCTCCTGAAATGGATAAGCAAGTAAAGTTTTAGGACACAAAACCAATGTAGAAAAACCAGTAGTATTTCTATGCATCAACAACTTTGAATTCCTGAACATCTTCAGGTTTTATTGCATTTTCAATTTTTTCCCTCCATTAACTATACATTTTTTCTTTTTTCAGCTAAACTAATTTATTCTTCTGTATAATTTCACCTTGTTAATAAACCCCAGGCCAAAAAGTGGGAATAAAGTATTTGTCTGCATCCTGTTTCCTCATTTTGAAAACTAGTCTAGATGAAACCTATACTTGTTCTAGGGAGTTGGCATAGACAGCATTTATTTCCATTCTCTGCAGGGATGCCAGCCAGAAAGAGGGAGTTCCGCATTTTCACTTTGGTTAGACAGGACTCTGGATGGTTGTAGGGGAAAAGATCCAAACTCTAAGGGAGTCAAATCAGACATTGCAAAGATTTATACATTTACTCTGGGAGCAATTATTGTGTTAAATTTTGTGCAAAACACTGCGCAAACAGCAATTAAAGTGAAAATTATTAAGGCATTACCTTTACCTTGGGAAACTCACACTAGTCAGATTCTCCGAACCCCAGAACATAACAACAACCTAGTAAAATCTTGTTCAGAGTGAAGAGAGGGTGGGAGCAGGAAGGTAAGGTTAAAAATTAGGCTGGGTGAATGAGATAATTACCCCTAGTCAAGCAGTGGAAGTATGGATGGCTTTGGGATGGGTGAAGACAAAAGAATCTCAGCAGAGGGTGCAGATAAAAAAAGGCAGAAACACAGGAGGCTTATGCAGGAAGAGGAATGAGTTTGCTGGACTGGGGAGAGTGACAGTAAAAAGCAGAGGATAATAGGCATCTCTGGTCATCTAGGGACTATAGGGTGGATTAGTTGGGGGTTACAGAATCAGTGAGGTACTTTTTAACAGTAGGATGGGTAAATAAGAGCTATAATTTGGAATAATTATGTAGCAATGGTGGTTAGGAGCAATAGAAACTCAAAGTATTACATAAATATTTTTTTTCTTATTCTCCCACACAAGCGTTTTGCCTTTCCTCTTAAACTGAGAACGGAGTGGTTTGCTATGATGTTTTTAAATTCTCACAGACAAGCATTATTCTTTGCTGCCTTTTAGTAAAGGTTAGTTTTAACCAAATTAAAGAAGATTGAATGGATTTTCTTGCTCATAATGGTTGAGTGCAATATCTCATACCTTCTATTAGTTTTCAGTATAACTGAAATAACAGAGTGTCAATACTCCATGGAGGGGTGCTCCGCTTGCTAAGGCTCCCTCCTCTGGGCTAGGCCTTCTACACCATGGCTGTCCTGCTCTGGCTGGAGCTGGAATTTGGATTGACCTCTGTGTGTCTTCCTAGCACACAACAGGTGTCCAATTAGCATGGGCAGAATCAAGCTCCTCCCTCTCACCATTTATTTCTCCATTTGTCCCTTGTTGGGAATGGAGAGTCCTGCCACTGAGTTCAGCCCAGGGTTGAAGTTCAAATCTCAGCTGATACTTGGTGGATGTTGACTTTTTTGAGAAGAACTTGGGAGAATAAAACATTATAAAGGCGCTGGCCAGGCACGGTGTCTCATGCCTGTATTCCTGGCATATTGATTGGCTGAGGAGATAGAATTGCTTGAGGCCAGGAATTTGATACCAGCCTTGTCAACATAGTGAGACCCCATTTATACAAAAAACTTGAAGCATTAAAAACATTTAGCCAGGTGTGATAGTTCCAAACTGTTGTCTCAGCTATGCTGGATATTGAGGCAGAGATCACTTGAGCCAGGAGTTCTAGGCTGCGGTGAACTATGATCACGCTACTGCACTCCAAACAGGCAACCACGCAAGATGATTCAAAAATAAAATCTTTTATTATTCTTCACCCCTATAGTCTCTCCAGAACTTGTGCACTATGTAGCAGAAAGAATCAAACTCCCCAAGAGTTTGGTTCTTGCTCATGATTTGGTTTTCTGCTGCTTGGCTGCCCCGTCATGTCCCCATTTTGTATAAAATAAGAACCCCCCAGTGAAGTGGAGTTTCTCCCCAGCAGAGGGTCTCACCAAGGCCCCAAGACTGGCACTTTAGGTGGAGGCTTGCCTTTCAACCTCTGAATAATAATTGATACTAAAATTGAGAAGTTTTCCAGACACCAGCTTCCTGAAAGGAGCATCCAGTCAGAAGACAAGATGAGGTCAGTAGCGAAGGTGACTCAGGCTGAGTGGGGAAGTCCACCAGCGTATCTGAAGACTGAGCTAGGGGAGGGTTTCCCTAATGTTCACTCCTTCTGCCCTCCATATATTCCTCTACTTTTCCCAAACTTCCCTCTGACATCCTCCAAACTTTCTATCTTCCCAGGGCTTTCTTGCCAGGGAGTCTAATGAAGTAAAAGCTTTAAAATTGCTTTGATTTTAAAAATAATTTTATTGATTCTTAAAATGTACCGACACAAAATTAGAATACCAATTCTTAAAATGCTTAAAAAGTAAATTAAGTGTAAGTTTACATTTAATTATCTTATTTGATTCCTAATTAAAATACAAAAAAATTTTTTTTGAAACAAGGTCTTGCTCTGTCACCCAGACTGGAGTGCAGTGGTGAGATCTTGGGTTATTGCAACCTCCACCCCCTAGGTTCAAGCGATTCTCATGCGTCAGCCTCCCAAGTAGCTGGGACTACAAGCACACACCACCAATTGGCTAATTTTTGTGTTTTTAGTAGATATGAGGTTTTGCCATGGTGCCCATAGTGGTCGCAAACTCCTCGTCTCAAGTGATTCACCCACCTCGGCCTCCCAAAATGCTGGGATTACAGGTTTGAGTCAATACACCTGACCTTAATTTTTTTTTTAAATTATAGGTAAATTTAAATTACTCAGAAATAATCAGAATTAACCGTTGGATACCCTGAATCTTTTTCCCATGCATAAGCCTTTCTAATCTTTCTATTCAAATTTAGGATTTGATTCGGTTCTAGTGTTTTAAAACCTGCTTTTTTCCTTCAAAGAAATGTAGACCATCTCTCAGGCCAATGGACATCACGGATTTTCTGATGCTTAGAGGCTGACTGGTTGTTTATCTATGACCTCCCATAATGTACTTAAGTAACACCCTCTTGATGATGGGGTTAAGTTGTTGAAATTACCTTGTTTTTTCTGAAGCACTACGTGGAAAATATTAGATCTTGAAAGAAACACATAAACCCATACCACACACTTCCTTTGAAATTCTCTGCTGGTTATTTAAAGAGATGTTTATTCCTGACTAAGGTCCTACATTACACTCTCTGTAGAACTTTTGGAAACGATAAAAGTACAAGACAATCAATAAAGCAATTTAATTTCTCACAGGATCCTGATTCCTATAAGAAACACATCAATTCCTATAATTCGGCATATTTCCTCTCAATCATTTTTCTACACATTTTAAATTTTGGGCTCTAATGTATAAGTTTGGTTATACTTTTTAATGTATGCCTTTCATTAATATGTTTAATGGTATATCATCTCATAAGCACTTCTCCATGTGATAAAAAATTCTTTGTACATCCCATTTTTAATACATATATGTAGCTCCAAAGAAAAAGCATATCTTGTTTACTCTTCTAATCCTGTAGTATTTGAAAACTTTGTTTTTCCAATTCTTTGAGATAATAAACTGGTTAGGGTTAGTATTTTGGTCCCCATTTAAATTTTCTAAGAGTTGCCTTTCTATAAGTGGCTAAGTGACTGTTACAAGGAGAAGAGCCCTCCTGAAGGGGTGTGCCATGGGGTTGAGGCCTCCCTGCAAAGTGCCTTCCTTGTGGCAGATCCCCATGTGTCTTTCTAAAATCAGCACAGTCAGACTGAGCGTGATTGGAATTCTGCAGCTGTGACCCCTCTCGAATCTTCCTTCAATTCAGATGCAACTAATCTCCTCCTTGGTGGACACCAGGAAGTAGGCTGTAGAGCATTCTGTGACCCTGAAGAATGACACGATGTTCTTGATGAAGAGGGTGGATATTCCTGAAGGAGAAATAATGTTTTCTCAACAGCAGAAGCAGATATCAAGTTTATTCAATGACTGGGTCATGGAAAATCCTGTTCTCTACAGGTTGATGCTACATTCCAGGCAAACCCACACCCTCGGTGTATGCCAGAGGCTTCAGAAACACAAAGGAGCTCATATGAGATGAGTGCCAGGTAGCTATGAAGCCTCAAGAACTTCCACTGCAACAGAAGATAATAACTTACTCTGAAGAATTGTTTGCATCTCCCTGCCCATCCCCTGGCTACTGAGTGCAACCATGCAACTCATTGCATGCAACTATAAATATAGCTACAACTATGAAAATAGCTGAGATTCTAAACCACAAATACAGACAACTACGAATATAGGTGAGACAAAAAACTGTAAACCTTCTTAAGGGTGTACAACATGTAACAACGGCTCCCATTAGCTCATGTTTAGATACCAAGGAAATAATAGCAGGAATGTTTTATGTTCACATTCCAAACAAAACCTATTATCATTCATCGTCAGTTCATTTAGTCCTGTTTTACTCATACTTGTTTTACTCTATCTTGTAAGCACATATGCTTCTCTGCTAGAATTAGAGAAATAAATTAGTCCACTGATAGTGTTTCAAAGTTATATAAGTCATTCTATCAGAAGCCTGTTTATAGGAGTACTTGGCACAGTTATTTCTGTGGGTCTCTGAGACATTCTTATTTTGTTGAAGACAAAGCCCTGTGGCCTGGAACTGATTTGCAAGCACTTTTAGAAAAATAGCCGAGTACAACCAAAAGTATATACTAATGAAAAAGTAAGCCATGCTTTCAGGTATGTAGTTAGTTGATACACTAAAATATTCTTTTATATAATGCAAACAGCACTAACACTTTAAAAAATAGAATTATATCATGCAGAGTGAGGGCACTGGAAATTTTTTAAAAAACTTTCATTTCTGGATTATTTACATTAATAACAATTATGTAAAAAATTTAACCTAGGGGAAGCTAAGCATATGTCTTATTATTTAATATAACAAGATGCAAAATAGGCAAGTTTCCATATATGATAGTAGGACATAAAGTGTGCTGATACAAATATGAAACATAAAATATAAGTAAGAAATAGAAAAAATGACCTGTGTATGTTGATTATTTATATGTGTGTTTATTACTATTTTTAGTAGCTTAGATTATGTAAATATGTATTATATTTTAGGCAGCAGCAAATATTAACATATTTTTTAACGTGCAGCTTAGATAAGAATTGATGATTACAATTTATTAATATTAGCTACTTACGACAAACATTATGCAAAAAGAAATTCTAAAAATAATTTTGTATTAACTTTGAAAATTTTAAACTCTTTTCTACAGAAGTTTTTTAATTACAGACAATAAAATAGAAAGTTTATAAAAAAGAAAATGCTACTGAGAAATAGTTGGATTTTGATTCATTATTTTTTCTGAATATTAGTACTTGGAGCTTCACTGTTAATAATGCCAATAGGCTACACAAATTTTCTCTTCAGTAAAATGGCAAAACAGAAGGCATTCAATTTTTAAATATACGATGCAATTTTATTACCGTTTTTCTATATAAAAGACACAAAATTTAGACCAATAAAAACAGAATTTCTTCCATGAAATTTCAAGAGCTGAGCTGAGCTGGGAAGAGCTAACCTGCTTAATATCAGAGTTTTAAATTAAAGCAAGAGGCCCACATCAAAGAAATAGTTACGCCTTTTTGTCTTCCTTTCTGTGATTGTGTTAAACAACAGGCAACATTAGATCAAGCACCGACTCCTAATTGTTCCATTTTTTCCTCATGGAAAAGCACCAGGAAAGGGTCAGATGGATCAGCACAAACATGGGGCACTGTCTCACTGCCGAGGTGGCACCCTCATAAAAAACAGGCCCGCAATTTTGTGGAAAAGGGGGTAGGAGAGCGTAGAGGAGAATGTATGAGCAAGATTAAAGAGAATTGAATATTAATAGGAATGTATGAAAATTATTATCAAAGTTCCATTTCTTCTCCAGAAACAGGGATCTGAACAAAAGTTTCTGAAGAAGGCCTCAACCAAAAGCCCCTCAGTTAGGTGCCCCTGAATCTAGATGCCTGGACTGGGAATGAAAATCTACATGTGAGCCTCAGTGGCCAAGATTTCCGGTATTGTTTATTTCAACCCCTCAGAGACTGCAATGCACTGACATTTACATGCTTCTCCTAAATGCACATGTCAGCAGCAGTGTGACAACCAATGCTTTCAAAGATATAATGTGGGTATCAGAGTTTCTGGCAAAAATTTAGATAATCTTATCTTTTCAACCTCAAATAACAATATATGCTGAGAAACTTCAAAGGCATGCACCTCCACAAATAATTTTTCAGGAAAGGATAAAGAAGCACAGCTGTAGGAGAAAAATTAGGCTGGAAGTTGATGCTACCTGTGGGAATTGCTAATAATGGAAGCACAGTTTGTTAGAATTTAACATGTCTGATTGGTGAATATAATGTCACAGCAGCATAGATGCAGGAGTACTTGGATCTGACTATGCTATCTAAAGCTAGAATCCTTACATTTTCAAAAGTTTAGAAAAATAGGTTAGTTAGTGGAGGTGGTATTTCTCCTCTTTGGTTGATTTGGGAATTAACACCAATCATCATATGAGTTTCTGGTTCATATGTACACTATGTGTTTTACTCAGGACAATTTAGGTAAATATATAGACTTAATCATTTTCAGGTGTCTGTAAAGGGTGCATTATTAACATTACAGATAACTTTTCATTGGAATAAAATACCTCGACCCAGAATCTTCTATGGCCCCATCAATTGAGGTCAGTCATTTATAATAAAATGAAGTCTACTATTCTTTTTAAAATATACAAAGTTAAAGTCATCAAGATCAAAGTTATTAAGAAATAAAATTATAAGAAAAACACAGCTGTACCATTACATCTTAATAAATCCCAAAATTGTATATATACTGTAGAAATAATATAAGTAGTTATAATGTTTAAATATATTAGAGGAAAAGTTTAAAAGTAAGATCAAAATAAGGTATATTATCAAAATAATTAGGTAAAAATTTTAAATTTAAAGGATAGAATACATAGAAAAATTACATAATTGAAAAAGAAATTATGAATTAGAAGATATGATGAAGTGAATATTTAGAAGTCCCAATAGGCATAAAACAAATAAACAATATGAAAAATTAAAATACATAAAAATCTAGAATAAGTCATGTTGTTTAAGTGCAAGTTTGAATAAATAAAATGGAGTGAATGTCAAATAGGGAATAAAAATATATAATTATTAAAATAATTAATTATAATAGCTTAAAGGCATTCTGATCAAAAGAAAAACAATAGTTAAAAGCATAATACCATAATAGAGAAAATCACGTAAAGCTATCTAAGATAAAATTCAAATTAATTATAAAGCAATGAAAAGAAACACATTTCTCAATATGTGAATAAGATCAAGAATCCAATAGGTTACGGTTTTAAAAGTTCTGAGGGAAAAACATGTAAATTTAAAATTACATATATTCGAAAAGTTATTTTCAGGTTTAAGGACAAAATGTAACTTAATACACAAATACAATGTAAACACTATAATTATGTCAGTGAAATGCATTTAAAATTTGCTGAAAATTTAGTTTATGAAGAAAAATACTCTTCCTGAGAACAAACATTGAGATAAAATAAATGTGCAAACATCTAAATAGATGGAAACTATGTTAACACTGTGTGAAATTATACACAATATGTGATATATCCATGTGAAGCATATTTATGGAAGCATAAAAGAAAATGTTATCCCAAGGGTTATATTAAATAAAAGAGTAAATTTGGTAATAGATGAATAACTTATTTTATATCAGTATAATGTGTATTTAAGAGGTTTTTGTCACTAAATTATTAAATATTGAGTGCAAATCCTATATACTGTTTGAACAATACTATTATTTTCTCAGCAAAGATCAGCACTGAAAGACTGATTCCTGCATAGCCACTGACCACAGCTTCTGGAACAACAAAAGCATTGAATCATTAATCCTGAATGTGGCCAATGAGCAAGAGATGAGGAAATCTACCCAGTTCATGACCACAAAGCAACTCACCAGCAGCTGGATGGCCTGGGTAGCTTATTTCTCTGGAGAGACTCTTAGACAGTGACTCCTGATACAGAGATGCTGAGACTGCATTTTGTGCCTGGAGGAGAGAATTACCACGTGTGATTTGAGAGCATCAGTGTTCCTCCAGAAGAGACATTTCTAAATGCTGCTAGTGTGAAAAATGAGCTTATGTTCACGTAGCCCCTGGGGGAAGAAAAACAGTAATATTTAACAGTACATTTTAAGAACCAATAAAATTATTTTTAAAATCAAAGCAATTTTAAAGCTTTTACTTCATTAGACTCCCTGGCAAGAAAGTCCTGGGAAGACAGAAAGTTTGGAGGATGTCAGAGGGAAGTTTGGGAAAAGTAGAGGAATGTACGGCCCACTCAGCCTGAGTCACCTTCGCTACTGACCTCATCTTGTCTCGACTGAGTGCTCCTTTCAGGAAGCTGGTGTCTGGAAAACTTCTCAATTTTAGTATCAATTATTATTCAGAGGTTGAAAGGCAAGCCTCCACCTAAAGTGCCAGTCCTGGGGCCTTGGTGAGACCCTCTGCTGGGGAGAAACTCCACTTCACCTGGGGGTTCTTATTTATACAAAATGGGGACATGACGGGGCAGCCAAGCAGCAGAAAACCAAATCATAAGCAAGAACCAAACTCTTGGGGAGTTTGATTCTTTCTGCTACATAGTGCACAAGTTCTGGAGAGACTATAGGGGTGAAGAATAATAAAAGATTTTATTTTTGAAACATCTTGCATAGTTGCCCTGGTTGGAATGCAGCAGCACGATCATAGCTCCCTGTAGCCTAGAACTACTGGCTCAAGTGATCCTCTGCCTCAATGTCCAGCATAGCTGAGACAACAGTTTGGAACTATCACACCAGGCTAAATGTTTTTAATGCTTCAAGTTTTTTGTATAAATGGGGTCTCACTATGTTGACAAGGCTGGTATCAAATTCCTGGCCTCAAGCAATTCTATCTCCTCAGCCAATCAATATGCCAGGAATACAGGCATGAGACACCGTGCCTGGCCAGCGCCTTTATAATGTTTTATTCTCCCAAGTTCTTCTCAAAAAAGTCAACATCCACCAAGTATCAGCTGAGATTTGAACTTCAACCCTGGGCTGAACTCAGTGGCAGGACTCTCCATTCCCAACAAGGGACAAATGGAGAAATAAATGGTGAGAGGGAGGAGCTTGATTCTGCCCATGCTAATTGGACACCTGTTGTGTGCTAGGAAGACACACAGAGGTCAATCCAAATTCCAGCTCCAGCCACAGCAGGACAGCCATGGTGTAGAAGGCCTAGCCCAGAGGAGGGAGCCTTAGCAATAGGAACACCCCTCCATGGAGTATTGACATTCTGTTACTTCAGTTATACTGAAAACTAGTAGAAGGTAAGAGATGTTGTACTCAACCATTATAAGCAAGAAAATCCATTCAATCTTCTTTAATTTGGTTAAAATTAGCCTTTATTAAAAGGCAGCACAGAGTAATGCTTGTCTGTGAGAATTTAAAAACATCATAGCAAACCACTCCGTTCTCAGTTTAAGAGGGAAGGCGAAAGGCTTGTGTGGGAGAATAAGAAAAAAACATATTTATGTAATACTTTGAGTTTCTATTGCTCCTAACCACCATTGCTACATAAGTATTCCAAAATATAGCTCTTCTTTATCCATCCTACTGTTAAAAAGTACCTCACTGATTTTGTAACCCCCAACTAATCCATCCTATAGTCCCTAGATGACCACAGAGGACTATTATCCTCTGCTTTTTACTGTCACTCTCCCCAGTCCAGCAAACTCATTCCTCTTTCTGCATAAGCCTCCTGTGTTTCTGCCCTTTTTTATCTGCACCCTCTGCTGAGATTCTTTTGTCTTCACCCATCCCAAAGCCATCCATACTTCCAATGCATTACTAGGGGTAATTATCTCATTCACCCAGCCTAATTTTTAAACTTACCTTCCTGATCCCACCCTCTCTTCACTCTGAACAAGATTTTACTAGGTTGTTGTTAAGTTCTGGGGTTCGGAGAATCTGACTAGTGTGAGTTTCCCAAGGTAAAGGTAATGCCTTAATAATTTTCACTTTAATTGCTCTTTGCGCAGTGTTTTGCACAAAATTTAACACAATAATTGCTCCCGGAGTAAATGCATAAATCTTTGTAATATCCTATTTGGCTCCCTTAGAGTCTGAAACTTTTCCCCTTCAACCATCCAGAGTCCTGTCTAACCAAAGTGAAAATGGGGAACTCCCTCTTTCTGGCTGGCATCACTGCTGAGAATGGAAATAAATGCTGTCTATGCCAACTCCCTAGAACAAGTATAGGTTTCATCTAGACTAGTTTTCAAAATGAGGAAACAGGATGCAGACAAATACTTTATTCCCACTTTTTGGCCTGGGGTTTATTAACAAGGTGAAATTATACAGAAGAATAAATTAGTTTAGCTGAGAAAAGAAAAAATGTATAGTTAATGGAGGGAAAAAATTGAAAATGCAATAAAACCAGAAGATGTTCAGGAATTCAAAGTAGTTGATGCATAGAAATGCTACTGATTTTTGTACATTGGTTTTGTGTCCTAAAACTTTACTTGCTTATCCGTTTCAGGAGGCTTTTCAAGTTTTCCCCAAAAGTAGTTTTGGAGAGGCTTTAGCATTCTCTACGTAGTGACTCATATTGCAAATGGAGAAAGAGAATTCAATTTCTTTTTCTATTTGTATGCCTTTTTCTTTTCTATTGGCCGATTGCTGTGGATAGGACTTTTAAATCTAATTAAATTGTATTTGTTAGATTTTTGTATATTTTAATATGTCTCCAATTAATTTTATATCTGTATAATGTCCCCTTATAAAGGAATATGTAGCTGTTTTATTTAGTTATTTTATTATTGATGCACATTTGAGTTTTTTTCAGTTTGGAAAAGTACCAAATAATGCTACTTCGAGCACTTTACTACATTGGAAAATATGCTGGCAATTCTATTGGGTGTATATACCTAGTAGCAGAGTTGCTGGGTTCTAGAGTGTGCTTATGTACATCGTGTATGTAAGGAGTTACTACTCAAGTGGTTTTGAATGTGGTTATAACAGTTTGCACACAGAATGGTATAAGAAAGTTCCAGTTGCTTGACATCATCACTAGTACTTAATTTTGTCAGTTTTCAAAAATGTTAATGATTGCATAGTGGTATTCAATTGTAGTTTTCATATGCATTGTTCTGATGCATAAGAATGTGGATATGTTCATCTACTTGTTGGCCCTTCGGTTCTGTATGTGGAACTCCTAGTCATATCTTTGCCAATTTTGTTCAATGTATGCATCTTTGTTTATTAAGTGATGGGATTTAGCTTAATAATCTAGATAAAAAGCTTTTGCCAGATCAATATATGACAAATGTTGATTTCCACTTTGTTCTTGCCTTTCAGCTCTCCTGAAGCTTTTTTTTTTTATGAAGAGAAGGTTTTAATTCTAATAAAGTCCAATTTGTCATATTTTTGTCTTGATAATTTATGCATTTTGTGTCCCAAGAAATCTTGGCCTGTGCCAAAGTCATGGACATACTTATCTATGTTATCTACTAGAAATATTGTTTTCAATTTTCACCTTAAAATTTAAAATCCACTTGTCTCGAAATTTGTTAACAATATAAGATAGGTTCATTTCTTTCTCACATAAATAACCAGATGACCCAAGGCTAATTACCGAGATGCTGTCTTCTCTCCACTGCTCTTCTGTGCCTGTTTTGTAATATACAAAATGTCTAAATGTGTGAGTCTGAGTTGGACTCTCGAGTTTTTCTAGTTTTCTTTGTGCCTATTTTTTCATTACTACCATAGATAGCTTTTATTACTATAGCTTTAATCTAAGTCTGAATATATGGCATTGTAAGCTCACAAACTTTGTCATTCTTCAGGACAGTTTTTACAGTTCTTTGATTTTTTAATATGTATTTAAAATTTTAAACTGATTAGACAGTTTCCACAAGATTTCTGCCAAAATATTGTATTGTGAAAATGGAAATCAATAAATCAATTTGGGGAGAAACACTAATAACATCTAAACCAAACTTAAAGAGAACACCACAATAAGAAAAGAAATTGCAAAATTGGAATAAATATTTTCAACACATGAAATTACAAAGGGGCTCATGTTTCCATGAAGAGCACTCTCTCTCTCCCTCTCTCTCTCTCTCTTTTTTTTTTTTTTTTTACAGAGACTCACTCTGTCACCCAGTCTGGAGTGCAGTCGTGCAATCTCGGCTCACTGCAACCTCCGCCTCCCAAGTTTCAGCAATTCTTCTGTCTCAGCCTCCTGAGTAGCTGGGGCTACAGGCTTGGGCCACCATTCCCCGCTAATTTTTTTGTAAGTTTAGTAGAGACGGATTTTCACCAGGTTCGCCAGGCTGGTTTTGAACTCCTGACCTCAAATAATCCACCTGCCTCATCCTCCCAAAGTGTTGAAATTACAGGTGCGAGGCACCAGAGCTGACCTGTAAAGACCTCTTAAAAATTAGTTAAAAAACAAACAAAACAGAAAAGGAGAAAGAAGAAACATCCACTCATTAAAAAAAAAAAAGAAAAAGAAAAGAAAAGAAAAAAAGGCAAAAGACATTATTTTACAGGTCTAGTGCCCTGTGCCCCTCACTGTAATGGGGGTGGATATGGGCTTCACAGGACATGAAATTCATCAAACAGTTGCTGGTTGAAGGTGGGAAAATCTTGCGGGACCGACCTCAAGAGCAGATCCTGTGGTGCACTGTTTCATCCTGTAGCCCTGGAAAGAAAACCTGGCTGTGCCGTGCTTTATGTTTGCCTGCACTGGCCCTGTTCAGAGGCCTGAGCACGCATGGACACCTAAGTCTGCCCAAACTTTCCCCATCCCAATATTCTCTGTGGTATTGAGCATGACACCCTGTCTTCACTGAGCATGTGCTCATACAGTTTTGTAGCCAACTCTTCATTTTACAACAGGAAGACTGAGACCTCCCAAAAAGGCAAAGACTGGTCCAGATCCCAGAAATTGGGCAGAGCACAGAGTATTAGGGAGGGATCCAGCTTCCTAGGCCTTGCATGCACCCCACCCATCAGGTTTGCTTTGGAAATGAGAGCCCATGAGTCCTGGAAAACCCTGTGCTCTACTTTCTACCTGGGCTTTCTACTCTTCAATGTTGTCACATAGGCGTGCAGGCATGCACACACAAACACATCACACACACACAGGCTTCTAAAGTGGAGATCTAAAGTGGAGATTCTAAAGTGAGGTTAGGGAAGAGGAAACCAAAGAAGTGACAAAAGGGGAAGAAACAGTAGATGCAGCTTTGCCATGAGGCAGAGGCATCCACTCCCCCAGCTACATGACCAGGAGCTGACAGCATGCGATGAAGGATCCTCCAGGTTCCCTGGGTTCTTCCAAGCCTGGGGACTTTCCCAGCTGTTTCAAGAGGACAGGACTGGGGTTGTGACTCCCACTTCTGTGGGCACCTGGAACTAAAATGAGCTATGCCCTCCACCCACCACCCCGTGTGATATAAAGACAGGCTACGGGAAAGAAAGCCTTTGTTTTCTCCCTCATAAATAGGGGTACTGAGAAGGAATAATACCAAGGATTCTAGATACTCATAGGTGTCTGCCGCCCTTGGCTTTTCATTGGTAAATCACTGTGCTTTGAGACTCTGGGAAGAGGCTTTTCAGTTTCTAGAGGTCCTTCAGAGAAGAGAGAGGCCTAGAGACTTGGGCGGATGAGGACTTGGAATAAAGCACAATGTGACAATGCACTGGGCTCTGGAGTGTGGGGCCCAGAAAAAAATACTAGTTTTTTGGGCTGTCCTTGAGGTCCTCATTCGGAAGTGGAAGAAAATAATGTCGCCGAATGCTGTTAAAATGTTTAATGAGTGCACAGCACACCCAACGAGGCTGAGGAAAATAGGAATCAAGGGAGGCTTCCGAGGTCACTTTTATGGCCCTTGGAGCCTTCAGATACTGCTCCTTTTCCCAGGGGTCCCTGAAGAGCCACTGCCTTGAGAATTCCCCAGTGCAGGTACCTGTTTTGTGATGCTTCTGCCTGGGACTTCAGTGCTAGCGGAGGCCTCTAGGTGGCTGCAGACCCCGTGTTTCTTGTGCCCGCTGGACTTTACTGGAGTAGCTGGAGCCGGGGGAGAGACAGGCTGAGGGCCTGCAGCTCCTGTTATCATTCTTGATCTCCACATTATTGGGTGACCGAAAGCAGGAAAGACTTTGTGATTTTCCATGTTATTTTACTCAGCGGCTCTTCCCCTAGCACTCACCCTGTGGCAGCTACCTTGGTAGGTTCACCATGTGGTACCAAAAACGATTATGTTATCCCTGCATCCCCGCGGGGAGCCTACAGTCTGAGGACTGCAGGACAAAAACACTAAAGCAAGTACATGCGAAAGAAAAGAGCATTTTATAATGGAAATAAAGTAGAATGTTGGGAGGGAGGGCTGGAGAGAGGTTGCCTGGAGGGGACATGAATACCTCACTGAGCTGGCATTATGTTGTGATGAGAATGACAACTGCGCAGGTGTGGAAAGTGTGTCAGGGAAAAGCCACTCTTTGTGAAAAGACTCAGAGGCACAAGTCAGTTTAGCAGAGGAGGTTATAACGGGACAAGTGTGGCTGCAGGCAGCCTGAGAAAGAAAGGAACAGAGGGGAGGGTGTATCCTGGGGCCTGAAAGAGGAGGTTAGTCATTTGCCCGTCTGTGACAACATTGCTCTGAATTTTAGCACATTTTGACAACAAATACTATCTCACAACTTTTGTGAACCAGAATCTCGATATAGCTTAGTTGGGTGCCTCTGCCTCAAGGTCCCCTATGAGGCTGGGACTGTGATTTCAACTGAAGCTGGATTTGGGGAGAGATCAGCCTCCAATCTGCCTCATGGAAATTGGCAAGATTCAGTGTGAACTGAGAACCCCAGTTTCTTTCTTTTGATTGGCCTGGGCAGTTCTTCAGTTCTCTATCATGTGGGTCTGTGCCTAGAGCATCTTAGGACACTGGAGATCGCTTCCTCATCTTGAGGATTACAATACAGAGATGGAAAATGAAAGAGATAGACAGACGTATGCACAGAAAAAGAGAAAGGGAGACAGAGAGATTGAGAGAGGACGCACAGGACAGAGCAAGTGGGAGGAAAATAATAGCTGTTTTAGAAATATAACTTTGGAAGTTGCAGTAGACTATGTGATTCCCCACCATATTCACATTCCAGAACATTAATCCCCAGTGTAATGGCCTTAGCAGGTCAGAGGTAATTAAGTCCAAAGCATGAGGACCTCATGATAGCGATTACCGGCTTTGTAAAAGAAACTGCAGAAGGCTGTCTCTCCCTCTCTCTGCTAAATGAGAATACAACCTGAAGTCTGGAGTTTGAAACTCACAAGAGAGTCCTTACCAGACCCCAACCATGCTGGAAGCCTATCTCAAATTTCTAGCCTCCAGAACTAAATTCTTTTGTTTATAAGTTGCCTAGTCTATGTTTTTGGTATAGAAGTCTGAACTAAGTCAGAAGTGATAACCTATCACATTTGTTGTATTCTCTTTGACAGAAACTAGAAACAGGTCCCCAAAGAGTTCAACCAATGACTAGCAGAAATTCTTCAGTTTGCAGAATGACGGATAAGAAAAGATAGAACTTGTCGAAAGACTGAAATTTATTCCACTTATGAGACTTCTAAAAAGTGGCTAAAATTGGTCGGAACCAATATGGTCAACTAGAGTCTGTGTGAAATAAGCTCACTGATGTAAGAGCCCAAATTTCCATCACATGTTTTGTACTAACTGTCCCCAAATTTGCACATGACCTGTGTGTAGCAAGAAAAGATGGCTGTTCATGCCCAGTGACTTTCCATACATTTTTCCTTTCAGCAATTCCCTGCTAAACAAGAAGCCACCTCCTAAACCTTTCTGAGAATATTACTACCTTTAAGTAAGCACAGGGAAAGAGGCTTCAGCTGGAATCCAATGTCTTTGTTGGAAACCCGGTGTTATAGTATCGGCTTCTGAGGCACTGAGCGGTGAGCTGCGTTTTTAAATAACAGAGTCACTCACAACTTAGTGTTGTTGTGAGACTTTGTTGGGGGTGCCCACCACATAGGCTGAGATGAGGCATATACATGTGATTCCAAATATAATGCACAGCACTGGAATATTTAATGCCAGAAGACAGTATCTGATTTTCTTTTGATTTCAACCTCTTCTGCTGTAGAATGGAAAAATAAGGCCATATATATAAAATATATATCTTTTATGTATACAGATATATGAAATATGTATCTTTTATACATAAAGGTGTATATGTATAAGTTTATATATTATATATAATATATAAATATATTATATATATATACATATATTATATATATATATATATATATATATATATATATATATATATATATAGTATATATATTTTTTTGAGACACAGTCTCGCTCTGTCACCCAGGCTGGAGTGCAGAGGCACGATCATGGCTTAATGTAATTTCTGCTTCCTGGGCTCAAGTGATTCTTACACCTCAGCCTCCTGAGTGGCTGGGATTACAGGCATGCATCAACACACCTGGCTAATTTTTGGATTTTTAGTAGAGAAGGGTTTTTGCCATGCTGGCCATGGCTGGTTTCAAACCCCTGGCCTTAAGTGTTCCACCCGTCGCCTTGGTCTACCAATCTGCTAAGATTACAGGCAAGAGCCACTGCATCCAACTGATTTTGATTCATTCTATCTCATATATCACCAAAGACTGTTTTTGGAAGTTGATGTTAGCATAATCCCATTATGCATACTTCAGGGCTGGGGAGACCGGAAGCACACAGTCATTTTCATATGGTCACAGAAATGAAAAGGAAAAGAAGATTTTAACCCAACTCTGTTCTCTCAAACCTGGGGCCCTGGCTGTATTTAGATCTTTTTGGGGAGTAAGGGGCATAATTGTGTTTGCATAACTGTTTACAGGAAAAGAGTTGACATGGGAGATTAGGGTGAGCAATCAGCAGCCCAGCAGGGCCTTCGCATAGATTTATGGAGGAAAAGTGCTCAGGGGATAAAACCTTGAAGAAGTTAACAGACTTCCCTTGTGACAGAACCTAACAGAATTTAGAACTTTGGGAACCAGACACCCACATTCTAGAGACAGCCCTGTATCTAGCTAATTTCATGGGAGATGCTTGAGAGATCACTGTGTTCTCATTGTGTGCTATATTCCTAATCTGTTGCCTGAGAAAGGCTCAAAGTGAGAGCTTTTTCTGGCAATATACATATTGGATCAGCCCACATCCTTGATACCACTGGCCATTCGACAAGAGGCAAACACAGGTAACACAGTGAAGCCCAGGTCAGGTCCGTCCATGCCAGGCCAACCGTCTCATCTAATCTGGGCAACCCGACCCTGCCTACCATTATCATGTGTTGCAGGGGGAGCAGGAAAGGAGGGGGCTCTTTCTCACAGGGGCAGGTTGTAAGGCATTGGAACCCTGGCAGGTATGTCATGTTCGTACCCAGGTCATGGCTGGTGGAATAAAAAGTTGAGCATTGTGGACCAAGTGTGTCTACTCAGATGTGAATCCCAAGGCCTTAAGCTGTCCTCGGGTTTCCTCATTGGCTGGGGGTCTATGCAGATACTCCTATGTTCCTGATCTAGGAAACAGAATTTCTAATGGAGATGTCACCTGGTGGTAAAAACAAAGGAGATAATTAATTTTTTTTCTTTTTTCTTTTTTTTTTTCTGCTTCGCTGCTGGGAACACTCTTTGTAGAGTTTCATTGAAATCATTGAGCAGATATTTGATGGGTTCAAGTCCCCCATCTCCTTGGACAACTGGCAGGTTCACCACACCCCCAAGCATGGCATACAGTGAGTTACGGTGAGAGCAGGCACATGGGGGTCTCTACAGACAGGGATCTGACAAAACCAGGATGGGCCCAGGATCCAGACCCAAATATGGAATTTCTCTGGGCTCTCTCTTAGGGGATTTCCATGAGTGACCCAAAGATCTGCCTCCCAAAAATCTAGCCTTAACTAGTCCCAAAGGCAGCTTGGTTAAGTGTAAAGTCCCTTTTTACATTCTTGTAGAAATATCAGAGAAGGCCTTTGTGTTGTTTTTACTTTACACTAGGCTGTATTTATTCATGTTACTACAGTTTGTATGGTTTTAATTTTTCCCCCCTGGTATCACCTGTAGCAGGCAGCTTCATGGCACTGCCAGACCTTCCCCAAGACTTCAAAGCCACCACTATCACTAATACTCTAGAAAAATAGGGAAGAGTTTACATGAAAAGGGGGTTATATTGTTCCCTGCATTTGTCTGCAACGTGTCATCTCAGAGAACACATCCCTCTAGCCCATCAGGGCAGAAGTGGTGCCCTCACATCTCTTTGTAATGTTCTATAATGGGGGTCACTTCCCAGAGTGGTTTAGCCTTTCAGTGACTATTATTTCTGATCAAAATGGAATAAAACTAGAAATGAATAACAGATGAAAACAAAAATAGCAACATATATATGGAAATTAAACAACTCACTTTTGAGCATGCTCATGTTTAAGGGTTGTAAGACTTGATATTATGAAGAATGCTCATGATGCCTAAAGCGAGTTACAGATTCAATGCAATCCCTTTTAAATTAGCAATGTTTTTGAAATAGAAGAAGGAACCAACAAATTATATGGAATGTCAAGCGACCATAAAGAGCCCAAAAATGTTTTAAAAAAAAACAATGTTAGCGGCCTCAACTTTTCTGATTTCAAAGCACATTACAAAGCAACAGCAATGAAAACAGTTTGTTTCTAGCATAAAGACAGACAATTTTTCCAATAAAACAGAAGGTAGCACACATGTAAACCTCACACATATGAGCAAATAGCTATTTGCATACCAATATTCATTGCAGCATTATTCACAAAGGCCAATAGGTGAAAGCAACACAAACTTTCCTCATAGAATGAATAAATAAATATAATTTGTAATACAAAAGTAATGGAATATTACTCAGCTTTTAAAGGCAGAAAATCTTGTACCATCCACAATAAAGAGAAATCTTGAGAACATGATGCTAAGTAAAATTAGTCACAATAAAACAGATACTCTATGATTCTACTTATATGTAATATCTAAAGTATTGAAACTTAGAAACAGAAAATAGAATGATTTTTATCAGGAGCCAGGTTGTAAGGAAAATGGGTAGTTGTCATTTCATGTGTCCTGAGTTTCAGTTTTGCAAAAGAAAAAAGTTTTACAAATATGTTGCAAAGCAATGTAAATACATTAACATGACTGAACTGTATAAGAAAAAATATTAAAGATTCTAAATTTTATGTTATGTATTTTTACCACAATCGAAATTAAAAATGACACCCAAGGGCCAAGAGAGATGGCTCATGCCTGTAATCTCAGCACTCTGGGAGGCTGAGGCATGCAGATTACTTGAGGCCATGAGTTCAAGACCAGCCTGGCCAACATGGTGAAACCCCAGCTCTATGAAAAACACAAAAATTAACCAGGCGTGGTAGTGCACACTTTTAATGCCAGCTACTCAAGAGGCAGCAGCTGGAGAATTGCTTTAACCTGGGAGGTGGAGGTTGCAGTGAGCCAAGATTGTGCCACTGCACTTTGGCGACAGGGTGAGAGTCTGTCAAAAAATAAATAAATAAGTAAAGACACCTGAAGAGAGAGAGTTACAAAGTTTTTGAAAAATTATCTTCAAATCGCATAAGTCTTTCTTTCACACTAGGATAATATAAACAATAGATGTTGAAATTAAGACAATTTCCATGATTACTCACTTAGACAGAATCAATTATTGTCCATCAAACAAGAAGAAAATAACACAAGTCATAAACAAAATAGGGGCAATATTTATACAAGCAAACAAACAATTAAATCATTATATTAACAAAAGACCATAGGGATGGTTCATATTTTTTGCCTCACACTGTCTTAAGCTGTACAGATTTGAATATTGTCATAGAAAATTATATTATATAAATTCAAACTAAAAACAATAAACTGATGTAAGGTGCCCTACCCTAAAACACGAAACACAGAAATGCAAAATTGCAAAACAAACTTAAAAGAAACCTTCCCCGAATTCTTACTTGAATAATGTAATTCAAAATCATAATAAATAGGTAGAAAGTAAAAACACAATTAACTGCTGTGAGACAGCCTACTCTAAAAAATACAGAAACATAAATTCTAAAACATAATTAAGAGAAACTTTGATCTATAAAATCCTGAATAAACATAGTGTCCAACTGAAAAAGAATCCTAGGTAACTACAATTTTCAACTCTTCCTTTGAATCCATAAAAAGTATAAATTTTGAATTATTTGGATACAATTAGGGCAACAACATTTCAAAGAAACCATATTATAATTATTAAAAAGAGATGTGATGAGAAAGTTTTAAGGAATAAAAATTTAAGTAATACTAGAGAAAGTTTTAAATTATGCTACTGATGCATTGCTTCTTTCCTTACACAAAAGGGTAAGGCTGTAATCTAGCCTTTAATAGAAAGGTCTTACATTTTTACATATGGTAACAATATAAATATTGTAAATACAGTATAAAACATTGACAGATAAAATAAAAACTGGAAATAAATTGTACTATTAGTCAAATAAAAGTTGGGAAAACTGGAAGAAAATGCTAATAGTAATATTGTGCCTAGAGTCAATTAAACATACAAGCCAAATATTTTAATAATTAATTATATAATTGATACATAACATATACATTTGAGCATGCTGTTTTACAACTTCTCAAACTGAAATTACAGAAAAATGTGACACATGATCATTCAGAAAGTGAAAACACAGTCATAGTAATCTTCATATTAAAGAAAACAGAATCATAAAATAATAAGTGAGAAATAAGGTAATAATTGTGAATTCAATATATGTTGAACAATATTCTAATTTCCCTTACGGAAAAAGTTTTTGTAAGAAATCTGTAAAATGAGTACTTACAATAAACCATCCTACAGTAGAGGCTGTTGGCATACAGTGTTTAAATTTCTATGATTAGGTCCTACTAAAGAAAAGAAAATTTTAAAATAAAATAATTAGATTTTCCTATTTAATAAGATAATTTTTGCCTATAAAGTTTTTCAGTCTAATTTTTTTGTAGAATTAGGTTTTAGCCTTCATAAAACTTGACATTATGAAGCAGAAAACAGGTGTCATCTGTCTCTGTTGTTCCTGGAATTTCTAACCCAAATGCCAATTCCTCCACAACTCCCCTCACACACTTCTGAATTGAAGCACAACAGATTTATTAAAAATGGCATAACAGCGGTGTCCAGAAATGTGCAGAGATTTTCCCAGATCCCCAAAAGCAATGACAAACTATTCAGATCATTTAGGTTCTCACAAGATTCTGGGAGGACTTCGGCTTTCAGTGTGAATGCACTGGAAGATTCTAAGAGAGAGGGAGAGAGAGAGAATGTGTGTGTGTGCTTGTGTGTGTGTGTGTGTGTGTGTGTTGAAATCAGAACTCCACCTTATGTGTTTATTGTGGAATTTGGAAATGAAAGCCTAAAGCCCAAAATTAAAATCACACATAATAGCACGTTGCAAACTGTTTTCTGTGCTAGATGGGTCGTTCTAGGGTGTAGGACCCTGGTAACACCGTTTTCCCCTCCTTCCGGAAAGAGCTACTCACACTGCTCAAAGCCTGCATCCACATGTACCATGTCAAAGACCAGCTCAAGAGCCTGGACCCATATGCCACCTTCAGCAGGGTTGACTGCAGCTCCTTGTTCTTCCTGAGCATCTTCTCCAATGGTGACCTGAGAGTTGCGGGAGGCATTGGGGCCAGGATTGAACAGAGGAAAAAGGAGCATGGAGGCCAGGTGCTGAGGACCAGGCCATCTTACCTGGAGAGTTCTGGCCCTGAGACATCCAGACCAACATGACGTTTAGGTGCAGACAGCTGGCCCTGGGTGGCCCTGTGCTGATCACCGGCCTCGGCCCCTCAAACAGTGGGAAATGGAAGAATGGCTTGGAAATGGGTCCTGTCGACTGTGTGTCATCTGAGCACATTCTCCCAGGGGCCCAAGAAGGGCCATCGTGTCTCCAGAACCAGAACTGGAAGGTAAACTGTCAGGGGGGACAAGGAAGAGGGTCCTCAGTTGGGTGGAGGGTCTCACAGCAAGACGCCTGGCTTAATCAAGCTTGGCCATTCCTGAAGCACGTTCAGTGACTAAAAGTGCCTACCATGAGCAGCTGGAACCCACTCCCTGAGAGCTGCAAGATCCATGGGGACCTCATGTACCTGTTTGTAATTACAGCCAAGGACCAGCAGGCAGCATTACCGCATCCACATGGGGCTTTTGCTGGACACAGTAAGTCTCTGCCAGCCCCTCCCAGGCTCCTGGGATGCCACTTGTTCTGGATCTGTGGACAGATAACCAGGATACTTGCTCAGTGTCCATCCACTCCTTGTGGTCTGAAGCCTATCGCTCAACCCTAGCCCCACCAGACCTGCTTCCTAAGGCATTCCTCATGCCAGAAGGAAAGGCAATGACTTTGTCCCACAGCCCCTGCCTTGTGTCATGTCATGTGGGGGTATGGAATGAATCGGCAGCCGAAACTCCTGTCCTTCTGCCTGAGAATTCTATCTTCTCTGTCTGAGTTACCCTCTAGGGAGCTGTCAGTGGGAGAGAGAGCAGCTGTGGAAGAGAGTCCCACCTGCTTCTGTTTGACTTCAGGGCAGCCTCTCAGGGCAAGAACCCAGAGCAGGTGGAGGCCTCAAAGAAGCCTGTGGCAGGGCTCTGGGCTTGATGGGCTGAGCATCTCCCTATCTGCTGCCTGCAATGGGGCCCAGAACCATCCATTCAAGAGGGTCACCACCATATTGCAGGTGTGCAGCTGGACGGTTCCCAAGGCAGAGGCTGCCATGGACTGCAAGCACACAGAGGATGTACACCTTGAGGGTGGACTATGAGGAGAATATTTTTGAAGAGGTGCATGCAGCCTGGCCCTGCCTTCACTGGGAACCCCCTTCCTTCTGGGTACTAGACAGAATTCTGTACACTTTCCTGGAGGCTCCATTCTGGTCTGTTCATTTGGAAGTTTCAGGCTGTCTGTGAGGAAGTAACAAAAGAGATGTCTCAAAGCAGGTTGTGGGGCACAGGCTGAGAGATTTTCTCCCTCCCTAGTCCCTCTGCAGGCACGGGGCTGGAAGAAGGACCTGTGGATAATGAGGGAACTGCTCTTCGAGAACCGGCCTGAGCAGCTGCTTCAAGAAAGAGCCACATTAAAGGTGCCTATAGCCCCTGATGAGGGAATGGCAGCCTCAGGCCCGCCTGCCATCTGTGAGCAGGTTTTCTTGCTAACAGGATGAAAGCAAAGAAAGCTGGAATGAGCCCAGCCCTCTCAGGCAGCTTGAAGGCTGTTGGGGTTCTTTCCAGGCCTTCTAGCCTTCTGCTTCTTGGCAGGCCACTCAGGCACCTTTTTCCAGCCTCTGAGACTTCCATGCTCTGGAAGGAGAGGGTCCCACTTTTCACTAGGTTATGGGGCCGGGCCCATCCAGCTCCCCGCTTCCACTAACAACCATGGGGCTCTCACCTGGGCACACACTGCCCAAACATGGCCCTTCTAAGGCAGAAGATCATGTGTCTTGCAGTTTCAGCTTGCTAGGGCTTAAAAGTTATCAGTGCTGTTATTAAGATAGGGAAATGAACGGGGAAAAGATGCTTTAAAAAATTTCCCATAATCATACCACGGAGATCATCAGCACAGATGACAGCACAGGCGGGGCTGCTGGGGAGGCTGAGGGAGAGTGTCCAGCCTGTTCTGCCAGCTGACTCTTGCCAGGGGTGCCTCTTGATACAGTCCCTTAGAGAAGCATGCAGACATCTCAGGAAGGACCTGGAAGGTGCAGATCAGGGCAACCCAGCACTACTGACGGTGGAGTGGGCCTACCTCCCATCAAGCTGTGTCTCCACAGCTGACCCTTGAAGCCAGGAGGTGATTTACAACATGTGCAAGGCAGTGAGCTCCATCAGCTCTGTGGCCTTCAACATTCACTTCAACTCAGACATCTCACCAGAAAGCAGTGGGGACTGGCCAATGCAGAAGCCTGCAAAGTGGAACAGAGCGTCATGGGGTGGGGGATGTGGGGCCTGCCTGCTCATCTGAGCACTGCTCCCTGAGGGTGTGATCTGCAGGCTTCCTGAAGGAGGGCTGTGAGCTCATCAGGGAGGCCCTGAGCCTGTGGAACATGGCTGAGGCCAAGCCCATGGGGATTTGTGTCTACTTGCACCTCCTTGCTCATCTCAGTACACTACAGGTGACTGTGCCGAGGTGGGCCTTGAGCATCTCCTGGGCTGTGTTAGCAAAGGGCTCTGGGCCTGGCCTGGCATTGAGGGATGGCAAATAAGGGGCCTGGGGTTGCATTGTCACCCCCTATGGTAGCATAAAATGAGAGAGTCCGACCTGCAGGACTGGAACCCTATCAAGGGGGTTAGGAGGCTGCTCACTTTCCCTCAGGGACCCATGTGGAGGAGCTGAGGGAGGTTAAGGAGACCCTAGGGACTCACTTGTTCTGTCTGGGCTTCCCTCTGCTCCATCGTTTGATGACCATTTTCTGGGAAGAGCTCAGGAACCTCCTGTGCTCTGGTGAGATGGGGCCTCCCCTCACAGGGTATTCTGAGACTGTGAGTGAGAAGCTAACACAGTGCCTTGCAATACTCACGGGAGCTGTCATCCTCTGTGACCATCACGTGGCCTTGTAGTGTTCAGACTGCCTGGCCTGCCTGGGGTTTGGTGAGGCTGTTTTGTGGTCAGCTGCTTTAGAATCTCACTTTCTCTGCAATCAAACAGTGACTGTCTTTGTGTCTGTTTATGGGTTTAAAAAATCCTAATATTTCATTTATAGTAGTTTCAGCTTGCATGTGTTTATTTGTATAAATTTTATTAGAATAAAGAGAGCTTAAGACAACAGCATTTTAAGGTCTTAATGAGGCATAGACTTTCATGTCACAACAGCTATTGTTGACCTCTGTTTGCTACCTTTATGTAATGTATACACATAAAGTACAGCCAGAGGTGACTAGAGCTGAGCTGCTTGGGCTTGCTTGCTGGCCTACAGTCAGGTGGACTCTGGCTGTGAGGCGGTGCCCACCCTGGATCTACATCCCCCACCCTCTCTCCTTAGTCCCTGAGTAACCAACAAGGCCGTGCTAATGAGCAGGCAAGTGATGGGCATAGGGTACCCCAATACTATCTGGGAAGATTTGAATGCCATCTGGGCTGGAGCTGTTGGGATTAGGGTCTGTGGCTGCCTTGGCTTGTCATGGTGCCACCCACAGATGTGCCTGCCCTGTGCTGCTTCTCCAGCAACCGGCTGCCCATGGCCCTGAGCCTGTCACACCATTCTTGCTACCTCATACTGCTTGTGTTTGAAAAACCCATCCAGAGATGGCATTGCTGGATGTGAGTGCTGAAAAGGGGGAAGCACCTTTGTCCTGGGGGATTAGGAGCTGACCAGATTCCTCCTGACTCCCTCCCAGAACAAGTGGGGCAGGTGCTGCAATTAATGATGCCCCCCAGAAGATGTGTTTACAGTGGCTAAGCAAATACACTATGCAGAAACCTAAATGAAGACACGTGAATGGGGTGTATGGACATCAGTTAGCAACTGGGAAACAGGTGCCTCTCAGGCCTCTCGTGCTCCAGCAAGTGTGGAATATGCCTGTGCCCATGAGTGTAGACATCTGGAGTGTATACATTTGGCTGCTGCTTTTGCTGCCACTATCCCCAGGTCCAAACTGGCTTAAAGTCCAGGTTTTAAGTAAAAAAATGGGAGGCTTTTTGCCATACAGCTACTTGAGAGGCTGAGGTGAAAGCATCACTGGAGCCTAAGAGTTTGAGGCTGCAGTGACCCATGATTCAGCCACTGCACTGACACAGTGAGACCTGCGTGTGCCTTTCTACAGAGAATACTTCTGGGGCATTTGGGGATCCCTACAGTCCCGGACCCTCCCTGTCCCCTGCTGCCTGTGCTTCTTCCCTTGCCTGCTGTCAGAGCCTAACATGGAGGAGGAGGTTGCTGCCCTGTGAGCCTGAGGGAGCTGTGTCTGACTGGGGCTTCTGTCTGGGGTTTTGCGAAGAGCTACTTATGAATATGGTCTGTCCAGATACCTTGTTTCAAAGGAAGTGAGCATGAGGTAGCAAGTGTAGCCACCCCACAGCTGATAAACAACTTTGTCTTGTTTTTAAATCATCAGTCTTCATTTCACATTGGAATAAAGTAATTGAAACATGCTACCCCAGCCTCGCCCGTGTGTTCTGTAAGCCAGACTCATTTCGTTGTGTGGGCTGTTGTCAGAAATGTTATAAAAAAATTATGCATAAATAAGATCAAATGTAAAAGTATGCTTATAATGTCACTTGAGTGTGTGGTAAGAGGGTAGAGTCACAGGAAATCTGTTGGGGTTTACACCCCTGCTACTTACCAAGCTCATGAGAGTGTGGCAGAGGTGATCATCACCTGATATTTGTGGCAGAAGAGAAAAGTCCAGCGTGAAGGCCAGGTAGGGGAGACGTGCCAGGCTGTGGGGCCAGGCCCTGCGCATGCTGGGCCTGTTATGTCACTGAACATCTAACTACCCGGGAACCAGCTCTTTTCACATCATCTGAGGTAAGAGGATGGAGAAGCACTCTCCAGAAGTCACACTGCGCTGGGAGAATGGAGGAGAGCCTACAACTCACCATCCTAAGGTAGGTTTTAGATTGAGCTGAACTGTCTTCGAGAGCTAATGAGATGGGAGGAAGACAGTCCCCCAGGTGCACCTGACAGCCAGAGCCTATGAATTTAGGGGGGTTGTGTGGGGGTGGCCTGTCCCTATGAGAAGAGGAGCTTAAAGCTACTAAAGCTGGTGGCCGCTGCTCTGCCATCCCTCTACAGAGCAGGCAGGTCCTCAGCTGCATGTATAGCTGAATCTCTTTTGGAGTGTTAGAGAGTCCTCTATGTCTTAGAAATTTTGAAAAGAAAAACAAATCTCAATTTTAATGTTGATTGGTTTCTCTGAGCCAGTTGGGAAAAAAGATGTCCTTCACCTCAAAGGTTTAAGTGACACCGAAGGGTAGCCACCAGTGTCTCGGCCACTGAAGCCTCATGCATGCTCTCACTACCAGTTTGATTTGCAGCCCCATAGTTGTGTTGTACTAAATATTCTTTCCTCTGGCCTTGTCCAGTGAACACGGTTCACATGGCTAACACCACTTCTTGAGATGCGAGCACCATGCAAAGCTGAGAATGGATTGGGTTTTGTGACGATTGTGCCTCCTCCTCACCTGAGAGGCCCATTTTTCCTGGTTGATTCATTAAGTGTATTGGTGCTGTCAGTCGCCTCTGGACAATTCAAATGACAACTGGCTGTTGATTCATAAAGAAAATGAAGGCTTTAGATGTGAAACCCTCGTTTTCTCTTGTCCTTCTCTTAGGTGAAAGATTTTATTTTTTTCAAAAGGCTACATACTGGTATCCCAGCAGGTGTAGTGTGAGAACTGGCATATGTTAGGCTATGGTTTCAGTGTGGATGGGCAATTCTTCAAGATGGAAAACCAAGTCTCACTGAGGTGCTGGAGCCACACTGACCCTTCTCCACATCCCCCACCATGGGCTTTCACTTTTATTCTGTGCTTGAATTTTTTTCACATACAAATTCTTTATACACACACACAGACACACACACACATATCTCACTCTGTCAATGCAGTGGCTGAATCATGGGTCACTGCATCTTCAAATTCTTAGGCTCCAGTGATGCTTTCAAATCAGCCTCTCAAGTAGCTGGGACTACAGGCATGCAAAGCTACACCCAGACAATTTTTTAATTTTTTTCTAGAGACTGAGCCTACTTATGTTGCTCAGACTCATCTTGAACTCCTGGGATCAAGCGATAATCCCACCTTGGCCACCTAAAGTGTTTACATTACAGGTGTGAGCTAGCACTCTCAGCAAAAATATATTTTAAAGAACCGTTACAACCAAATTATGAGTTATCATTATGCCACTGCCCTCCAGCCTGGGCACCAGAACAAGACCTTGTATCCAAAAACTAAGCAAAACTGAACAAGAACAAAAAAAAAACCTTATAAATAAATTAAACTTTGAAGATTGTGTCATCTGTGTCCTTCCCTGCCCTCCAAGCTATCAATGTTAAATATAATGGTTATTGAGAAAATGGTTAGATATTATTAAGAAATTTCTATATATCCTCCAGCTGAGAATAGGTATTCTGATGTGGCCCAAATATTTTCTCACCGCTACCTTCAGGGTCTCAACTAGCAAATCAGGACACCTGCAGAGGACAGTTGACCGTTTTCAAATAGAAAGAGAAATACCCCGTTCATGAGAGTAATCCAGTGATTTTCAAAAAGACAAGACACACTGACATCCAGCGCAGTCAGGGCACAATTACCTTGGAAAAATCACCTCACACAGAATGGTTGAGGAGACTTTCTAAGGTGAGCAAATTTGGGCAACATAATCCTTTCTTATTTATTTCCAGCCCCCGCTGCCCCCCTGATTCCTAATGGCCACTCCACAGTGTGGTCAGCAGTGGGGTGCAGTGTTGTGAGAGAGGGGCTCAAGGACGGGATGAAGGTCTTTACCGCGTTACCAAAATGCAGGTTAAAAAGTTGCTAAAAACATGTCTAAATATTCTAATTCCTACTGTTACATAGCTGCTAAGATGCATTATACAACAGACCCAGGTAAGGGAAAGAGCATGTGCATTTCAAGTCTCAGCTCACGTCTTAATTAGCTGTGATACTCTGGGCATGTGAACCCAAATATACGAGCCTGTTTGCCGGTCAACCCAAAACAATCCTAAGCAAAAGCAACAAAGCTTGAGGCATCCTGTTACCAGACTTCAAACTATACTACAAGGCTACAGTAATCAAAACAGCACAGTACTGATACCAAAACAGATATATAGACCAATGGAACAGAACAGAGGCCTCAGAAATAACATCACACATCTACAACCATCTGATCTCCGACAAACCTGACAAAAACAAGCAATGGGGAAAGATTTCCTACTTACCAAATGGTGCTGAAAGAACTGGCTAGCCACATTCAGAAAACAGAAACTGTACCCCTTCCTTACACCTTATACAAACATTATCTTAAGATGGATTAAAGTCTTAAATGTAAAACACCAAACCATAAAAACCCTAGAAGAAAACCTAGGCAATACCATTCAGGACATAGGCATGAGCAAAGACTTCATGAATAAAATACAAAAAGCAATCTCAACAAAAGCTAAAATTGACAAATGAGATCTAACTAAACTAACGAGCTTCTGCACAGCAAAAGAAGCTATCACCAGAGTGACCAGGCAACCTACAGAGTGAAAGAAAATTTTTGCACTCTATCCATGTGTCAGAGGTCTAATATCCAGAATCTACAAGGAACTTAAACAAATTCACACACACACAAAAAAAAAACCATCAAAAAGTGGGCACAGAATATGAACAGACTCTTTTCAAAAGAAGATATTTGGCTGGGCACGGTTGATCAAGCCTGTAATCCCAGCACTTTCAGCCGTGGAGGCAGGTGGATCATGAGGTCAGGTGTTCAAGACCAGCCTGGGCCACATGGCGACACCGCATCTCTACTAAAAACACAAAAAATTAGTAGGATGTGTTGGCGGGTGGCCTGTAATCCCACCTTCTGGGGAGACTAAGGCAGGAGAATCACTTGAACCTGGGTGGCAGATGTTGCAGTGAGCCGAGATCCTTCCACTGCACTCCAGCCTGGGTGACAGAGCATGACTCCATCTTAAAAATAATAATAATAATAATAAATAAAATAAATAGAAAAAGAAGAGGAAGGAGAAGGAGAAGAAGAAGAAGAAGAAGAAGAAGAAGAAGAAGAAGAAGAAGAAGAAGAAGAAGAAGAAGAAGAAGGGGACCTTTATGTGGTCAACAAACACACAAAAAGAAAAAAGCTCATCATCACTGGAGACTAGAGAAATGCAAATCAAAACCACAATGGGATACCATCTCACACCATGTTGAATGGCAGTTATTAAAAAGTTAGGAAACAACAGATGCTGGTGAGGCTGTGGAGGAATAGAAACACTTTTACACTGCTGGAGGGAGTGTAAATTAGTTCAACCATTATGGAAGACAGTGTGGTGATTCCTCAAGGATCTAGAACCAGAAATACCATTTGATCCAGCAATCTCATTACTGGGTATATACCCAAAGGAATATAAATCATTCTAGCATAAAGACACATGTACTCATATGTGTATTGCAGCACTGTTTGCAATAGCAAAGACTTGGAACCAACCCTAATGCTCATCATTGATAGATTGGAAAAAGAAAATGTGGCACATCTACACCATGAAATAATAAGCAGCCATAAAAAGAATGAGTTCATGTCCTTTGCAGGGACGTGAATGAAGCTGGAAACCATTAACCTCAGCAAACTAACACGGGAACAGGAAAGCAAACACCATATGCTCTCACTCATATGTGGGAGTTGAAAAATGAGAACACATGGACACCGGGAACCAAAGATCACACACTGGGGCCTGTTAAGGGGTTGAGGTCAAGGGGAGGGAGAAAATTAGGACAAATACCTAATGCATGTGGGGCTTAAACCCTAGATGGCAGGTTGATAGGTGCAGCAAACCACCATGGCACATGTAAAACTATGTAACAAACCTGCACTTTCTGCACATGTATTCCAGAACTTAAAGAAAAACAAACTAACAAAAATGCACTAAGGCTGAGGGGGAGTGGGGGTAAGGGCAGGAGTCAGGCTCGGGTGGGTGCGTCCTGGAGTTTTATCCAGTCATTGACACTGATGTGGGAACCGCCCAATCAGGCGCGCGGTGGCAGAGGAGAGGAAAGGAGGGCGTGGCTTCCTGCATTTGGCGGGATCTGTGTCTCTCGCTGGTGCTGGCACAAGAGCTTGGGATCCGTCTCCTCTTTCGCCTCCTGCACCTTGGGAGCCCCGGGCTACTCTCTCACAGCCCCTGTTGCCCTGTGATCTGTAGGTCCTTGGGGACGCATAGTTAAGGTGCCAGGACATCCTGGAAGCTGGGAAATGGTGAGTATACGGGGTTCGCCATCCCGAGAGGGGAGAACAGACTGTGAAACCGGCAGGACCGGCCTCCCCACGGTTAGCTCCGAGTCTCCCGCAGCTTGGCCCTCAGTCCCCTGTGGCTGCAAGATGGCCGCTGGGCCAGCAGCGAGGGCCCCCACGTCCCGTCCGGCCCATCCGGTCCTGTCCCTGGGCAGCGCCCTGCTCTGCGCCCACAGCCATGAGTATTTCCCAGATTGTTCAGGGAGGCCTGGTGGGTCATCAGGGAAAAACCGCGACTGGGTGTTTGCGTGGGAGGAGCTGCGGCCCGTGGGGTCCCCAGTCTCTCTTGTTAAAAATTAACGGGAGTCTATGTTAAAAGGTTCATCAGTTTATCTGAACAAAGAGTGATTGGTGAAATGGAAAGCACCCAGCCATGATTTCTGGTCCACCAGAGGGGCATAAAGGAAAGGCTTTTATAAGATGCATGAGAAAGCAACCCAAATTCAAGAATTGGTTCCAGTTATATGGTAGCCTTATTTGAACTATCCAGATGGAAATGTCCTGGTTACATATTCAGAGGTTAATTGCATGTTTGTCATGGGTTAAACCTGCATTTTGCTTCAGGCTAAGATAGTGTTTTATAGGAAATATATTTGAGTTAGGTTTTAGATTTTTTTTTGTTTGTTTTTTGCTTTTTACCTATGAACACAGGGCACTAGAGCCACTTTAGACTAATTTTCTGATCTTTAATTATTTTAACACTCCAGAGGAGGACTGGTTTTCTCCTGTGTTTTTTTAATGTATGGCAAGTGGAACCTCTAATCGACCACCCTGTTTTTCATCCTAACTCAGGCTTGCAGTAAAATTATCAGTTCCCACTTTCTTTGCTGCATTCTCAAATGCAACACATGAGACCAGCTTTCCCTTGCCAATTTACAATGCTGTTAACTATATGTCCTTTATTATACATTTCATTAAAGTTTTCTATTATTTGGTTTCTTTCTACTTCTCCCTACAGTTCTGGCAATATTTGCTTTTTATATTTAGAAGCCTCCCTTTTGGGTGCATAAATATATAAAGCTATATTCTCTTGAGAAATTAACCTCTATTATTATTGTATGGTAAACTCATTTCATGCTTGTGAGAGACATTGCTAGAAAGTCTATTTTGTCTAATTTAAGCATTACCGTTGCACTCCTTTGGTTATTGTTTGCATGGAATATCATTTTCTATCCTTTCACTTTTAGCCTATGCTCTTAATTCATAATTGAGTCTCTTGTAAGCAGCATATTACGAGGTTTAAAAGATTAATTTATCCACTCTGTCTGCTTTAGTCTCTTTTGGCTGCTATAACTGAATATCACACACTGGTAATTAATAAAGAATCGAATTTTATTTGACTTATGATTCTGGAGGCTGGGAAGCCAAAACAACATGATACTGGTATATGTTGAAGGTCTAGTTGCTGGATAATAACATAGACAAAGATGTGAGGGAGAGAGAGCTTTTTTTTTTTAATATATAACAGATCCATTCTTGTTAAAATTAGCCCATTCCCATAATAAGAACATTAATCCATTCATGAGGGCAGAGTTCTTAGAGCTTAATTAATTTTTAAAGGTTCCACCTCTTAATTCTAACATGTTGGCTATTAAATTTTATCCTAAATTTTGGAGATGACATTCAGTGTACAGCAGTATCTGTTTAGTAGATACTTTAATCTTTTTATTTGTAAGGTAGTGATAGGTAAGGAGTTACTATTGTAAATTTGTAGTTTTCTGTCCATTTTAAGTTTGCTTCTTTTTTTTCTGGTTCTGTCTTTCCTGTGGTATTGTTCATTTTTGTTGAGACAAAGTTATGCTTTCTTGCTCAGACTGAAGTGTAGTGGCATATCACAGCTCACTGTAGCTTCAACCTCCTGGGCTCAAATAATCCTCCCACCTTAGCCACCCAAGTAGCTTGGACTACAGACACGTACCGCAACACCCAAGGAGATTTCATCCTTCCACCTTGGCCTCCCAAAGTGTTGGAATTATAAGCAGGAGACACCATATCCAATGTGTAATTTTTGTTGTTTGTGTATGCTTTAATTACTTTCTCTTTTTCTTTACTGCAGTTTTTTTTTCCTAGTGGTTATCATGAGACTTAGGTAAAACATCTTGTATTTTAATAGTCTAGTTTAAGATGATAACAATTTATAGTATTCTGAAATTCAGTATGTATTTACCATTTTAGTGACATTTATACTTTAGTATTTTTCATATTGTTAGTTAGCATTTCATCATATCAATGTGAAGATTTCTTCCAGACCATGGCTGGAGAAGGAAAGAAGGTGTGTTTTGCCTGACTCAGTGACTATAGAGAGAACCAAGTTCTGCAGGCCTGTCACCTAAGTCTCAGGTGAGTATGAATTCTCTTGTGTTTTTCACAGATTGTTGCAGTGGCAGGACCAAGGTCAAATGAGTTATAGCCAAGTCTACAGTAAGATGTGGCAGTATTCTGTTTTGAAGCCGGGACCATGATTGGCAAGCTTGCCACTTGGTCAAGTGCTCACCCTCTGAAAATGTCTTCCTTGGTCTTTGCCTCCAGCTGGGTGCCACAAACTCTGAACTGGATTTCAAGGCTTTCATGAATGCACTTACGTTTGCTGTGGCAGCTGCATTATGTCGTGGGGGATGTGGATGCAGAACCTCACATTCTGTCGTCTTGCTTATGTTACTCTCCTTTATGTTTCACTTTCTCAAATGAATGTCAAGCAGGTGATTTTCAGATTCAAAAGTTCTAAAATAAATTGCTCAAATTTATACATTATGTAAGCTGTTAATAAAATTTCTTGTAGGTGCTACATATTTGTTAAAATTTTTGGTTGTAATTTTAAGCTCACTGTAGGCAGAAAGGAATCATTAAGATTTCTATTCTTTTTTAGTCTGTATCTAAATGACCATATATTTTAATTCCAAATATTTACTTTATACTTCAGTAATGCTCATTGTATTTTGCAAAATTTATATTGTTCTTTTATTTGAAAATATAAGGCTTTTTTTAGCTCCTGAAAGCTATATTATAGTCATATAGTTTTATTATAGTATTTGATAAGAAGAGCAGCAACATATTGAGAACAGATAAAATTCTGCTGTCTTTTTAATGATTATTTATTAAATTCTTCTCATTAGAGCCTATTATTAATGATTGTAATGTATTTACTGTATAATTTTTCTGCAATTTATTAAATGCCAATGACTTCCAATGTCTGCTTTTCATGACTGCACACAGTTTAAAGCTGTAGATATCTAAAGGGTTATTTTTCAGCCCGGCATGGTGGCTCACGCCTGTAATCCCAGCACTTTGGGAGGCCAAGGTGGGTGGATCACGAGGTCAGGAGATCAAGACCATCCTGGCTACCACGGTGAAACCCCGTCTCTACTAAATATAGAAAAAATTAGCCGGGCATAGTGGTGGGTGCCTGTATTCCCAGCTACTCGAGAGGCTGAGGCAGGAGAATGGCGTGAACCCAGTAGGCGGAGCTTGCAGTGAGCCGAGATGGCACCACTGCACTCCAGCCTGGGCGACAGGGTGAGACTGTCTCAAAAAAAAACAAAAAGGGCTTATTTTTCATTGTATATTTATGTTGTATTCAGGATTTTATGCATTAAAATCTCTCTTCTTATTTTCAGTTCTGTGTTGTTGTGTTTCTTTTCTGGGGGGGTATGTTTTCTCAGAGCAGTTAATTGTATTTTTGCTTTTAAAGCTTGATATCATGAGTTGAATGATAATTTTTTAACTCGGTACACATTATGACAATGTGATATTTAATTTATATTTGAATTAGCTGTGTTTGTTGCTTATAGATATATCTATGTGTTTTTCACCTATGTAAGTATGTCATTTTTTTCATCTTTTTTCCTTGTTTTTTTTTTTTAAGTTTCAGATATGCTTTCTTTTTCTTTTTTTTTTTTTTTTTTTTTTTTAAAGAGAATTTTAAAACAGAGTCAAATGAACAAAAATCAGTTATTTGTCCTCTTGCAGGGCGGGGAGACCTTCCTTCCCCACGGGTTTGAGGCTATGGCTAAGTGGTGAGCCTTGGTGAGACGCAGAAAGGATCCATCCCAGGCACTTGGCTAGAGGTAAGTAAAAATAGCCTTTGGGCCAGAAGACCTGATAGTTTGGGTACTCGTCTGGACATAAGTCCCCATCTTCCCAGAAATGTCGTCTTTTGTCTGCAACAACTGGCTGGAGAAATATTTCAGAAAGATGTGTGCCTGGAACACCCAAAGGCATACCTTTCCTTTCTCCTTGGCATAGGCCTTGCAGCACTGAAGAAAGACCAGGTTTGCAACGGAGCCTTCAATACTCTTCATCCCTATGGATCTCAGGGGCTCATAGGGTGACAGGAGAGGAGACAAGCTAGCTTGGGAAGAGTCTTTGTCCTTCAGCTTCTCCTCTACTGAAACACTATATACTTGGGGCCACAGTTCATAACAAAACACACATGCTGTCTTTCTTTCTCTCACACCCCCATCTCGGGAACCCAACAACTTGATGGCAGGTAGCTCTGGGTATCCTTGGTCTGGCATTCACCCACTGGGCATCTAAGCTGTCCTAAAGCTCTTTTCAATCACTTCTCACTGTTTCCAGGCCCATGTGGGTAGGTGTTCCAGCCTTCACTCTTTCAGGCTGTTCATAAAGGCACAGTGTGGGAAAATCCCCTACTGTGATGGCCATTGCTGGGAAGCAGGGAAGGTTAAGGGCCCACTGCTGCCCAAGGCTAGTGTAGACACCCTCTGCTCCTCCACTCATCTCCTCAAATAATGATATCAGGTGCAGCAGCTGCTGTCTGGAATGTTATCAAACCAGGACTGCACAGGCACTGCATTCTCTGTGTGGAAGATGTAAGAAGCAGGCGAGTTGTCCAGGATGAGTTTTCCTCAGGTCCCTCCCCAGATGGCTGACGTCCTTGACATAGCAGCCCTGGTGAAACAAACATGACTCATGGGACAGGCAGCCCCAGACCATCCCATACCCGTCCAGCTCACCCGTCACAGGATCTGCCTACTTGTTCAGGCTGGGAAGAAGAGAGCAATGACGAAAACACATTTAAACATTTCCTCCATTCATGTCAGGAACTCATCCATATAAGGCCTCATGAGCACATGGATCTGGTGCATGGTCCCCTCAAGCTCTACAGGCACTAGGCAGTCAGCATTGCTGATTGGCTTAAAGGAGCTATGCACAAGGGTTTCATCCAGGTCAGTGACCATACAGATCCTTCCTTGATTTTTCTCTGTCACCTCTGGGAGCAGGCAGGTTCCTGGGATCTGATAAAACTGATATTGGAGACGCTGGAGCTGATCCGACATAGCAATGGTGTTGACTCCCTCCTTATGTGTGGATTGCTCAGCGGGGGAACTTGACTGTCCAACATGCTGGGTGCAAGAACAGCAGAAAGGGGACTTTTAAGATGTGGCAAACATGAGGCCTCTTCGGAGAGGACTTTGGAAACCAGGCCTTGTTTGGTAAGGACCAGGGCATCTTCCCTCCATGCCTGGGTGATGATGGAGCCTTGTTCCATCTAACAATCCTGAGGGCTGGGCTGGGGGGCATGGGCTGGGGCCTGATTCAGTTCCCGAGATTCTGACCTCCACAGCTGTTCACATACCCCTTCTCCTTTCCATACTGGCCGGGAAGGGAGGTGGCTTGTAGGGAGGGTGGTTGGCCTTGGCAGCGGCTCCCCAGTGTGCCCCCATCCCCGATTCCCCCAGCGAGAGCTTCAAGATCCTCAGTTTGGGTCTAACATAGAGAATCCACCAGAAACACATTTTTTTTCAAGTTTTATTTTAAGTTCAGGGGTCCATATGTGATAAAGTTTATTTTTCAACTTTTATTTTAAGTTTAGGGGTCCATGTGCAGAGTATGCAGGTCTCTTACATACATAAATGCGTACCACTGTGGTTTACTGCACAGATCATCTCATCACCCAGGTACCAAGCCCAGCATCCGCAGCTATTCTTCCTGATGCTCTCCTTCCCCTCCCCCATGCCATGAAACAGGTGTCCAGTGTGTGTTGTTCTTCCTGATGTGTCCATGTGTTCTCATTGATCTGCTTCTGCTAATAAGTTAGAATAATAATAGGCGGTGTTTGGTTTTCTGTTCCTGCATTAGTTTGCTGGGAGTAATGGCTTCAAATTCCAACCATGTCCCTGCAAGGGACATCATCTCATTACATTTTATGGCTTCATAGTGTTCCATGGTGTATGTGTACCACATTTCCTTTATCCAGTGTATCATTGATGGGCATGTAGATTGATTACATGATGTTGCTATTGTAAATAGTGCTGCAATGAACATTTGTATACATGTATTTTTAAAATAGAATTATTTATATTCCTTTGGGTGTAATGGTATTGCTGGGTCAAATGGTAGTTCTGCTTCTAGGTCTTTGAGGAATCTCCACACTCTCTTCCTCAATGCTTGAAATAATTTACACTCCCACCAACAGTGTAAAAGTGTTCCCTTTTCTCCACAACCTCGCCAGCATCTGTTTTTTTTTTTTTACTTTTTATTAATAGCCATTATAATTTGTGTGAGATGGTATCTCATTATGGTTTTGATTTGTATTTATGCAGTTATCAGTGATGTTGAGCTTTTCATGTTTGTTGGGCACATGTATGTCCTCTTTTGAGATATGTCTGTTCATGTTCTTTGACCCTTTTTTAATGGGGCCTTTTTTTTTTCTCTTGTAAATTTTGTTAAATTCCTCCTAGATTCTGGATATTAGACATTTGTGAGATGGATAGGTTGCATAATTTTTCTCCCATTCTCTAGGTTGTCTGCTCTGATGATAGTTTCTTTGGCTCCGCAGAAGCTCTTTAGTTTAATTAGACCCCATTAGTCAATTTTTGCTTTTGTTGCTATAGCTTTTTGCCTTTCTGTCATAAAGTCTTTTCTCATGCCTATATCCTGAATGGTATTATCTAGATTTTTTCTTCTAAGGGTTTTATAGTTTTGGGTTGTACATTTAAGTCTTTAATCCATCTTGAGTTAATTTTTGTACATGGTGTTAAGAAGGGTTCCAGTTTAAATTCTCTGCATATGGCTAGCCAGTTCTCCTAGCACCATTTTTTGAATAGGGACACCTTTCCCTAATTCCTTGTTTTTGTTAACTTTGTCAAAGATCAGGTTGTTGTAGGTTTTTGGCTTTATTTCTAGGTTCTCTACTTTGTTTCATTTGTCTATGTGTCTGTTTCTATACCAGTACCATGCTGTTTTTGTTACTGTACTCTTCTAGTATAGTTTGAAGTTAGGTAGAGTGACACTTCCAGCTTTTTTTTTTTTTTCTTAAGGTTGGCTTGGCTATTTGGGCTCTTTTTTGGTTCCATATGAACTTTAAAAGTTTTTATTTTTCTAATTCTCTGAAGAATGTCAGTAGTTCAATGGGAATAGCATTGAATCTATGAATTACTTAGGGCCATATGCCCATATTCATGATACTGATTCTTCCTCTCCATGAGCATGGAATATTTCTCCATCTGTTTTGTGTCCACTCTGATTTCTCTGAGCAGTTGTTTGTGGTTCTCCTTGAAGAGGTCCTTCACTTTCTTTCTTAGCTGTATTCCTAGGTATTTTTTTCTCTTTGTAGCAAATGTGAATGAAAGTTCATTCATGATTTGTCTCCCTGCTTGCCTGTTGTTTGTGCATGGGAATGCTAGCTACTTTTGCACATTGATTTTATATCCTGAGATTTTGCTACTGTTGCTTATCACCTTAAGAAGCTTTGGGCCTGAGACAATGAGGTTTTCTAGATGTAGGATCAGGTCATCTGCAAACAAAGATAATTTGACTTCCTCTCTTTCTATTAGAATACTCTTTATTTCTTCCTCTGGCCTGATTTTCCTGGCCAAGGCTTCTGATACTATATTGAATGGTAGTGGTGAAAGAGGGCATTCTTTTCTTGTGCCAGTTTTCAGGTGGAACGTTTCTAGCTTTTGCACATTCAGTATGATATTGGCTGTGGGTTTGTTGTATATGGCTCTTATTATTTTCAGGTATGTTTCTTCACTTCCTAGTTTATTGAGAATTTTAAACCTGAAAGAATGCTGAATTTTATTGGATGCTTTTTCTGCATTTATTGAGATAATCATGTGGTTTTTGTATTTAGTTCTCTTTATGTGATGAGTCACATTTATTGATTTGCATATGTTGAATCAACCTTGCATCCTGGGGACAAAGCCAACTCCATTGTTGCGGATGAACTTTTTAATGTGCTGCTGGATTTGTTTTGCCAGTATTTTATTGAGGATTTTTGCACAGTGTTTACCAAAGACATTGGCATGATGTGTTGTTGTTGTTGTTGTTGTTGTAGTATCTATGTTAGGTTTTGGTATCTGGATGATGCTGGCCTGATAGAATGAGTTAGAGAGAACTTCTTTGTCTTCAATTTTTTTTGGATGGTTTTAGGAGAAAAGGTACCATCTCCTCTTTGTACCTCTGCTCAAATTCAGCTTGCTTGGTAGGCTAGTTTTTACTGCCTCAGTTTCAGAACACATTATTGATCTATTCAGGGTTCAGTCTTGTGGAGGGTTTATTTTGCAAGGAAATTGTCTATTTCTTCTAGATTTTCTGGTTTATGTGCATACATATGTTTATAGTGTTCTCTGATTGTTGTTCATATTTCCATGGGATCAGTGATGATATCTCCCTTATTATTTCTAATTGTGTTTGGTTCTCCTTTCTTTTCTTATTTATTTGCCTAGCTAGTGTTCCATCTAGTTTATTAATTTTTTTCATAAAAACAGCTCCTGGATTTGTTGACTTTTTTTTTTGGAAGAGTTTTCAGTGTCTCTATCTCCCTCAGCTCTACTTTGATCTTGGTTATTTCTTGTTTTCTGCTACCTTTCTGGTTAGTTTTCACTTGGTTTTCTAGTTCTTTTCATCAAGATGTTAGGCTGTTAATTTTAGATCTTTTAGTTTCTCTTTTTTTTCTTCTTGTGGCAGAGTCTCACTCTGTCACCCAGGCTGGAGTACAGTGGCATGATCTCCGCTCACTGCAACCTCCACTTCTCAGTTTTAAGTGATTTCTGCTGTCTCAGCTTCCTGAGTAGCTGGGATTACAGATGTGCATCACAAAAACCAGCTAATTTTTGAATTTTTTTTGTAGAGGTGGGGTTTTGTTGTGTGGTCCAGACTGGTCTTGAACATCTGGCCTTAAGTGATTTGCCTACCCCAGCCTCCCAAAGTGCTGGAACTACAGGCATGAGCCACCACACCCAGCCCTTTCTATCTTTTTGATGTGGACATTAGTGCTATAAATTTCCCTCTTTTCTTGGTTTCCAGTGATTATTTTATTCTATCTTGGTGAGTCATCAGGGAAATAATCTTAAATTTACAATCAACATATAGTTTAAATCCATATAATTGTGTGAGAAGAACCCTTTGTTATTTGAAGGTGATGTTTGAAAGATTTTCTAACTGTGCCTTTTAGTTAGTCTTAAATTTCTAATTGTAGTTAAAAACATGCCATTGTCATTTCTGACATTTTAAGTATATGGTTTAGAAGTGGTTAGTATAGTTCTATTGTTTTGCAGTAGGTTTTAGATAATTTGTGTCTTACAAAAGTAAAAGTGAATACTCATTACTTATGAAAGAAGTTAGTTAGCTTGCCTTAGGTAGATAGCAAGAGAAGAGTCCCTGGAAAGTCCCTGGTCAGTGCCTCATCCCTGCATAACATATAAAGAAGCCTGGAAAAAATCAAGCTGCAGACACTAACAAGGGAACTAGCATATGTTGTTGTGCTTGGGGACATGCCCGTGGCTGCACAGATAGAAAAACCTCTGGCCCATTTGGATAAAAACTTGTAGAAACCTCCAGCTCACTCAGATAAAGGAACAAGAACGACCTAGCATAGAAATGCCTTTGTTTGGCCAGGCACGGTGGATCATGCCTGTAATTCCAACAATGTCGGAGGCAGCTGTGGGCGGATCATCTGAGGTCGGGAGTTTGAGACCAGCATGACCAAGATGGACAAACTCTGTCTTTACTAAAAATACAAAACTAGCCAGGCATGGTGCTGCATGCCTATAATCCCAGCTACTTGGGAGGCTGAGGCAGGAGAATCGCTAGAACCCAGGAGGCGGAGGTTTCTGTGAGCCGAGATCGCACCATTGCACTCCAGGCTGGGCAACAAGAGCAAAACTGCAAAAAAAAATAAAAATAAATAAAAAAAGAAAGTACATCTCAAAAAAAAGAAAGACAAGAAAAAGAAAAAAAAGAAGCACTTTTGTCTTTGTACAGTCAGTGGGCTCCCAGGAAAATGTTCCTTCTCTTTTTGTTGGCATGGGCACTGTGGGATCTGGTGCATTCCGGTCGACACTCTCGTTTATTTGGACTGTAAGTCTGACCTCTATGAATAATTACTTCAGCCCCTGAGTGCTCCCGGGCCAAGCTCCTTGGCCAAACTTTCACCTTAGCTTCTGATAAGTCTTGGGCCAAGCTAAGCAGCATCTATCAATCATCCCTTCAGCTCCTGATTGATCCCGGGCCAAAGGCCTGGGCCAAGCTGAGCCACACGTTTTTCAAGACAGCCTGTGAACTAGGCACATATCCTTCCCTTCCCAGTCCATAAAAACCCTGGACCCAGCCTCGTAGAGGGCACCACTTTCAGACACCTATCTCTGCTGGCAAAGAGCTTTCTTCTCTTGCTTCTTAAACTTTCACTCCAACCTCACCTTTGTGTTCACGCTCCTTAATCTCCTTAGAGGTAGAACAAAGAACTCTGGATGTTATCTCAGACTACGAGAGACTGTTACATCTTGGTGCACTGCTGAGACTACGACACTTGGTTTCTTTGAGTTTGACTAAATATTTTACATGAGTGTAATTATACAGCTTTCCTTTTTGACTGTCTTATTTTACTTAACAGAATGTTTTGAAGATTTGTCCTTATTGTAGTACTTTTCAAGATTTCCTTATTTTTAAGGCTGAATGCTATCCCAGTGATTGTACGTGCCCTGTTTGCTGAATCTACTCATCCTTAAGGGTACATTTGCTTCCAGGTAACATGTTTGTGAGTAATACTACAATGTGCATATATCTATTCCATGTTCTGCTTTGTCTGTTTGGGATATTTTTCATACACTGATTCAGTACCATGTGTATTCCCTTGCTTTTGTTGTCTCATCCGTTGATGCTACGTCCCCCAAATTATTGCCACGACCAGTTGTAATGAAGCTTCACCCTTCTGTATTGTGCTAGGAATTTTACAGCTATAGGTTTTACATTATAGTCTTCATTCATTTTTTAAAATTGACACATGTAATTGTGCATATTTTGGGGAAACAATTATATATATGTGTTGTATAACAATAAAAATCAGTACTTCTATATTTGTTGCCTCATGCATTTGTTATTTTTGTGGTGAGAATATTCAAAAGCTCCTTCTCTAGCTATTTTATTTTATCTTTATGTATTAATTATTTTAGAGACAGGATCTTGCTCTAACACCCAGACTGGTGTGCAGTGGTGCAATCCTAGCTCACTGTAACTTCAAACAGTCTTCTAACCTTAGTTTCCCAATTAGCTGAGACTACAAGAAGCTGCCACCATGCCTGGCTAATGTTTTAATTTTTCATACAGACGGGGTCACACTATGTTGTCCAGGCTCATCTTGAACTTCTGACGTCAAGTGATTCTCCTACCTCAATCTCCCAAAATGTATGGATTGCAAGAATATGCCACCAAAACTGGTCTCTTTTAGCTATTTTGTAATATGAGATAACTTTTCATTAATTATTATTATTCTACTGTGTAATAAAAAACAAAAACTTATTTCCCCTATCTAATCATAACACAATACCTGTGAAGCAGACTTTTCCCATCCTCCTGCTTCAGTCTCTGGTAACCCCTGTTGTACTCTTTGCTTCTATCAACCCTTTTTTTCAGGTTCCTCAAATGAGTGAGATAATAAGATCATAAAGTATTTGTGTTTCTCTGTGTGGCTTATTTTACTTAACATGGTATGCTCAAGGTTCATCCATGCTCTTTTTAACTGACAGAATTTTATGCTTTCTTATGGCTGAATAGTATTTCGCTGTGTATATATAGTACATTTTCCTTATCCATTTATCTGTTGCTGTACATTTGAATTGATTCCATATATAAGCTATTATAAATAGTTCTGTAATGAACATGGGAATGCAAATATCTTTTTGACACAGTAATATCCTTTCTTTTGGATATACACCCAGAAGTAAAATTGCTGGATCATATAATAGATATATTTTTAATTTCTTTCAGAAACCTCCATACTATTTTCTATAATGGCCATACTAATTTACAATTCCACCAACAAGGTATACATCCACTCTTTTTTATATCCTCATTAGTTCTTGATTTATTTATTTATTTATTTTTATTATAGCCATTCTAATGGGAATGAGGTGGTACTTCATTGCAGTTTGGATTTGCATTTCCTTGGTGATTAGTAATGTAGAGCATCTTTTTGTGTTCCAGTTAGCCATTTTTGTATCTCTTTTTGACAAACATCTATTAAGATCTTTTGCATTTTTTAAATTAGATTATAAGTGTATTTTATTTTGAGATTTTAAAGTTTCTTATATATTCTGAATATTAGCCTTTTGTCACATGTATATGAAAACATTTTCTGTCATCGCCTAAGCTGTCTCTTCAAACTTTTAGTTGTTTTTTTAATATGAAAAAGCATTTTAGTTTGACATAATGTTGTTTGTTTATTCTTGATTTTGTTGCCCATGTTTTGAAATCTTATTTTAATAATCCTTTCACCGTCCAATGTTATAAAGCATTTTTTTATGTTTTTCTCTAATAGTTTCATAATTGATGGCATTACATTTAAGTCTTTAGTTTTAGTTGATTATCATATATGGCAAGGTACAAGGGTCTAGTATTATTTTTCTGAATATAAATATTTAAATGGCCCTGCACCATTTATTAAAGAGATTAGCTTTTCTCTAAAGTGTGTTCTTGGTAATTTTGTTGACAATCTGTTGGCTTTAGGTGCATAAATTAACTTCCGGGCTTATTGGGCATATTAGTCTATGTGTTTGTTTTTATGCCAGTACAGTGCTGTTTTGGTTACTGTAGCTTTATAGCAAGTTTTGAAGTTTGATGAAGTGATGCCTTCAGCTTTGCTTATTTTGCTCAAAGTTGCTTTGTCTATTCAGAGTTTTTTGTGGATCCATATAAATTTAAATTTTTTTATTTCTGTGAAAAAATGTCATTGGTATTTTGATAAAAATCACATTAAGTCTGTAGATCACTTTGGGTAGCTATATCAACAGTATTCTTCCAGTGTATAAACACAATATTTTTTATTTATTCATTTGTATTTTATATTTTTTATCCATGTTTTGTCGTTTTCAGAGTAGAGATCTTTTACCTTTTTAGTTAAGTTTGTTGCTAGGTGTATTAGTTGGGCTTCCCTAGAGAGATCATGAGATCCCACAATAGGTTGGTTGTCTGCAAGTTTGAGGAGCAAGGAGAGGCGGTCCATGTCCCAAAGCTGAAGAACTTGGAGTCTGATGTTTGAGGGCTGCAAGTGTCCAGCACAGGAGAAAGATGTAGTCTGGGAGCTTAGGCCAGTCTCTCTTTTTCACGTTTTTCTGCCTGCTTTATATTCACTGTCAGCTCATTAGATGGTGCTCACCCAATTAAGAGTGGATCTCCCTTTCCCAGCCCACTGACTCAAATGTTAATGTCCTTTGGCAACACCCTCACAGACACACCCAGGATCAATGCTTTCTATCCTCCAATCCAATCAATTTGACACCCTGTATTAGCCATCACATTAAGTATTTTCATTTTTGTAGCTTTTGCATATGCAGAAGAAGAATTGGATGAAATTCAGCCTTGATTATGATGAAAACTCTCAACAAGTTAGGAATAGAAGGTATGTGCCTTAACTCAATAAAGGCCATTTATGAAAAAGCAATGCTAACTTTATACTGAATAAGGAAAAGTTGAAAGCTTTCTCTCTGAGATCTGGAACAAGACAAATCGTCCAAACTTTCAGCCCTCTTATTCAACATAGTACTGGAAGTCCTAGCCAAGGAAATTAGGCAAGAGGAAGAAATAAAAGTCATACTAATTGAAAGGATGAAGTCAAATGGTCTCTGATTGTGGACAAAATAATCTTATATGTGAAAAACTCTAAACACTACACCAAAAACTATTAGAACTACTAAACAAATTCTGTAACATTGCAGAAAATTAACACAGTAGTAGCTTTCTGTATGATGATAGCGAACTATCTGAAAAATAAAATTATAAATTCCATTTTAATAGCTACCAAAAATTAGTTATTTTGAGTTTATTTCTTTATTTGTGGTGGAGTCTTTCTCTGTCACCAGGCTGGAGCGCAGTGACATGATCTCAGCTCACTGAAACTCTTGCCTCCCGGATTCCAGAGATTCTCCTGCATCAGCCTCCTGAGTGTCTGGAACTGCAGGCATGTGCCACCACCGCCAACTAATTTTTGTTTGTATTTTTAGTAGAGACGTTGTTTCCCCATGTTGGCCAGGATGGTCTTGATATCCTGACCTTGTGATTCACTTGTCTCAGTCACCCAAAGTGCTGGGATTACAGGTGTGAGCCACCACACCCAGCCTTGAGTTTATGTTTTTATCTGTTGCAAGTTAAGGTCTAACTTTGTTATTTTTTCCTTGTAAATTTTTATTATTCCCAATACTGTTTGTTGAAGAGACTGTTCTTTCCTTTTTGTGATTCTTGGAACACATTTTAAAAATATGTTTACTATACCCATGAGGACTTATGTCTGGACTCTCTCATCTGTTTCATCATTCATTTGTCTTTATGTCAGTACCAAACTGTTTTGATTACTATATGTTCATAGTATGTTTAGAAAATAGAAAGTATGATGCCTCTGTCTTTATATTTTTTTCCCAATATTGTTTGGCTGTTTGTGATCACTTGAAATTCCATAAAAATTGTAGAATATTTTAAAACTTCTGCAAAAAGTTTCATTGGTATTTTGATAGAAAGTATATTGAATCAGCTGAGGGTTGTGGCTCATGCCTGTAATCCCAGCACTTTGGGAGGCTGAGGAAGGTGGAACACCTGAGGTCAGGAGTTCCAGACCAGCCATGGAGAAACCCCATCTCTACTAAAAATACAAAATTAGCCAGGTGTGGTGGCACATGCCTGTATTCCCAGCTACTCAGGAGGCTGAGGCAGGAGAACAGCTTGAACCCAGGAGGTGGAGGCTGCAGTGAACTGAGATCACACCATTGCACTCCACCTTGGGCAACAAGAGCAAAACTCCGTCTCAAAAGAAAAAGAAAGAAAAGAAAAGAAAGAACATTGAATCCGTAGACCACTTTTGGTAGTAGTGACATTTTAACAATATTAAGTCTATAACCTCTTGAACAAGAGTGTGTTTGAGAATTTGTTGTTTAATTTTTACTTATTCTTTGACATGTTAGTGTTTTTAACTTCTTGTTTTATTGTATCATAGTTAGGAATAATTTGTGTAATTCCATCTGCTGAAATTTGCTAAGATGTGTTTTTTAACTTAACAGGTGGTCTATCTGGAATATTGTGGCATGTGTGATTAAAAGTATTGCATATTCTACTGTTGAGTGGAGAGATATAAATGTGACTGTTAGGTCTAATTGTTCTATTGTGTTGTTGAAATCCTCTGTTTACTTATTCATCTTATGTTTGTTTTTTAATTTACATTACTAAAAGTCTGATAAAAAAGTCATCTACTGTTATGTGCTGGCTACTTCATGTTTCAATTCTGTAAAATGTTGCTTCATATTTTGGGAACTGTGATGTAAGGCACATACATTACTGTTGCTTTTATTGTTGCATGTTGTTTTATTGTTGTTGCTTTTATTGATATATGTTGTTTTTTGTTGCTTTTATTGTTGTTGTTGTTATTGTCCTTTTCTTCTTCTCTCTTGAGGAAGTTTTTGATATAATATATATTTTGTCTACCATGACAGTATTTGATTTTGCATTTAATTTTTTTTATTCTTTCATGTATGGCTTATGCGTGTTCCAGATCATAATGTGGTCATTTGTAGGAAGCAGAGAGTTGAATCTTGTTTCATGAATTTATTTAGTGAAAGTATGTTTTTGATTGACATAATTTATATATATAAAAAATCATTACTAAAAGGGAATGATTTCCTATGACTTTCTATTTAATTTTGTTTCTTTTTTGTTTTAGGTCCTGTAGCTTTTTCTTTTGAGACGGAGTTTTGCTCTGTTGCCCAGGCTGGAGTGCAGTGGTGCAATCTTGGCTCCCTGCAAGCTCCGCCTCCCGGATTCACGCCATTCTCCTGCCTCAGATTCCCCAGCAGCTGGGAATTCAGGCACCCGCCACCATGCCCGGCTATTTTTATTTTTATTTGTTTATTTTTTTTAGTAGAGACAGGGTTTCACTGTGTTAGCCAGGATGGTCTCAATCTCCTGACCTCGTTGATCCACCCACCTCGGCCTCCCAAATTGCTAGGATTACAGGCGTGAGCCACCGCTCCTGGCCGGTCCTGTAGCTATTATTTCCTGTTTTTCTCTCTTGTTCTCTTTCTTAGCATATTATTGATTTTTATAGTGACATGTTTTACTTCTTTTCTCACTACTCTCTCTGTGTGTATGTCTTTGTGTGTGTGTACTATAGGTATTTCCTTTTTTTTTTTTTTTTTGACAGGGTCTTGCTCTGTCGCCCAGGCTGGAGGGCAGTGGCACAATATCTGCTTATTGCAAGCTCTGCCTCTCAGGCTCAACTCAAACAATCCTCCCACCACAGCCTTCTGAGTACCTGGGACCACAGATGTGCACCAGTACTCCTGGCTAATTTTTGTTATTTTTCATAGAGACAGGGTTTTGCCATGTTGCCCAGACTAGTCTCAAAATCCTAAGTACTATAGGTATTTTCTTTGTTGTTACTATAGATATTACCAAAAATAACTACTATAGCATATAAAACCCTGCCTCTTTATGGCTGCCTATGTGTTTTATTGATGTCGCGAATTACATCATTTTGTATTGTGAATCTATTGGCACAGTTATATAGTCATTTTTAAGTCTTTGTTATCTCAACTACATAGCAGAATTAAAAGTATTCTGTGCATCTTCATTATAATAACAAAAATATTATAATTGTGTACATAATTATCTGTTAGAAAACTTTATATTTTACATAATTCTATGTTGCTCTCATCATTATTTTATTTTTTAATGTCAATGACTAGCATTTTTTTATACAGGCCTACCGTGCATAAATTAATACAGTTTTCGTTGATCTTGAATATTCTTTATTTTTATTTTTTAATTCATTTGAAATGATAGCTTTGGCAGACATAGTGTTCTTGGTTGGTACTTGCCATTTTTTTCAGCACTTTGAGTATGTCATCCTACAACCTCTTGCCTGCATGCTATTGGCTGAGACATCTGCTGGTCATCCTATAGGGGTAACATTGTACATGCTAAGTCATTTTTTCTTGCTGACTTCAAGATTCTCGGTGTTTTAACATTTGAATCTCTGATTAAAATGTGTCTTGTCATGGGTCTCCCTGTGTTGCTACTAGTTGGTAAAGTTTCATTAAATTTTAGGCCATTTTCTCCCTCAAATTTTGAGAGTTCTCAGCCACTGTTTGTTTCTTGAAATAACTTTGCTGCTCTCTTTTCTCTCTTTTTATTTTAGAATTCCCATTAGAAGTATATTGGCCATCTTAATGGTATCCCATAAGTCCCTTAGGCTTTCTTAATTTTTAAAATTATTTTTACCCTCCTCACCATATAATTTCAAAAGACTTCTTATGAAGCTTGCTGGATTTTTTCCTGCTAGATCAAACCAGTTGTTGGACCTTCTAGTGAATCTCTAAATTCAGGTATTTTATTTTTCAGCTCCACACTTTATGTTTCTATTTTGTACTTTTAATCACTTCATTGATAATCTCATTATCTTCATGAATTGTTTTCTTTTTCTGTTTAGCTTTCTATGTTCTTCTTTAGCTGAATGAGCATCTTTAAGCTAGGTGTTTTAGCCAGGCACATTGATATGTGTGTCTAATTCCAGCTACTTTGAAAGCTAAGGCAAGGGGATTACTGTATTAATAAATTCTCATGCAGCTAATAAAGACATAACCAAGACTGGATAATTCATAATGAAAAAGGTTAATGGCCTCACAGTTTCACATGGCTGGGGAGGTCTCACAATTATTGGAGCAAACAAGAGACTTTGTTCAGGGGAATCTCCACTTATAAAACCATCAGATCACGTGAGACTTTTTTGCTATCATGAGAACAGCATGGGAAAATCCCACCCCCATGATTCAATTACCTCCCACAGGGTCCCTCCCAGGACATGTGGAGATTATTACAATTCAAGATGAGATTTGGTTGGGGACAGAGAGCCAAACCATATCAATTACTTAAGGCTAGGAGTTTCAGACCACCCTGGGCAATATTGTGAGAAGCTATATGTAAAAAATATTTTTACAGATTAATCATGAATGGTGGAATGTTCCTGTAGTCTCAGGAAGTTGGAGGCTGATGTAAGATTATTCCTTGAGTTCCCAGGAATTTGAGGCTGCATTGAGTTATAACCATGATATTGTATTCCTGTCTGGGTGAGAGAGTAAGACCGCCTTTTAGAATTTCAAATTTGTTTTAGATTTAGGAGGTACCTACACAGGTTTTTTACATGGGTATTTTGTATAGTGCTGAGGTTTGAAATATAAGTAATTCCATCACTTATGCAGTGAGCATAGTACTAAATAGACAGTTTTTCAGTTCTTGATCCCTCCCTCTCTCCACCCTCTAAGAGTTGTCTTTTATTTTTATTTTTATGTCCATGTGTACCCAGTGTTAATTTCCATTTATAAGTGAGAACATCAGTATTTTTGTTTTCCATTTCTGCATTAATTTGATTGTAGAATGACCTTTAGTTGTATTAATGTTGCTGCAAAGGACAAGTTTTTTTTTTGTTGTTGTTGTTTTTGCTAAGTAGTATTGCTGTACATGTGACACTTTTTAAATTCAATTTAGCATTAATAGGCTGGACACGGTGGCTGATGCCTGTAATCCCAGCACTGTGGGAGGCCAAGGTGAGTGGATCATGAGGTCAGGAGATCGAGACCATCCTGGACAGCATAATGAAACCCCCGTCTCTACTGAAAATACAAAAGTTAGCCGGACGTGTTGTCATGAGCCTGTAGTCCCAGCTACTCGGGTGGCTGAGGCAGGAGAATTGCTTGAACCTGGGAGGTGGAGGTTGTAGTGAGCTGAGATAGTGCCACTGCACTCCAGCCTGGGCAACAGAGTGAGACTTCATCTCAAAAAAAAAAAATACCATTAATAGTCACGTAGGTTGATTCATGTCTTTCCTGTTATAAATAATGCAGTGATGAACCAACAAGTGCATGTGCTGTTTTGGTAGAATAGTTTATTCTCTTCTGGGTATACACCCAGCGGTGAAATTCTGCGTTGAATCATAGTTCAACTCTCAGTTATTTGGAAAATCTCCAAGCTGCTCTCCACAGTGGCTGAACTAATTTATATTCCTATAAACAGTGTATAAGTGGTTTTTTCCCTCTAAAACCCCACCAATATCTACTATCATTTTACTTTTTAACAAAAGCCATTCTAACTGGTGTACGATGGTGTCTTACTGTGGTTTTTATTTACATTTCCTTGATGGTTAGTGATAAGCTTTTTTCATGTTGTTTGGCCACTTGTATGTATTCTTTTGAACATTGTCTGTTATTGCCCACTTTTTCATGGGGTAATTTTTTGCTTGTGAATTCTTTAAGTTTCTTATAGATTCTGAGTATTAGATTTTGTCAGGTTTATAGGTTGTGAATATTTTTGCCATTCTGCCAGCTTTGGGGTTAGTTTGTTTTTGTTTTTCTAGTTTCTCTAAGTGTGATGTTAAATTGTTAGTTTGAGATCATTCTAACTTCTTGATGCAGATATTTAGCACTCTCAACTTTCCTCTTAACAGAGCTTTTCCTACAACCCAGACATTTTAGTATATTGTGTCTCTTCATTTATTTCAAATTTTTTTTAAGTTTCTGCCTCAATTTTGTTGTTTACCCAAAATTCATTCAGGAGCAAGTTGTTTAATTTCAATGCCATTCTGTGATTTTGTGAGATTTTGTTGGTATTGATATTTATCTTTTTTCCATTGTGGCCTGACAGTATGGTTGGCATAATTTTCATTTTTAAAAAATGTATGGATAATTGCTTTATGGCTAGGAAGTGGTCAATCCTAGAGTATATTCTGTGAGCGATGAGAAGAATTTATGTTCCTTAGATGATGTGTGGTGTATACTATAAATGTCTATTAGTTTCAATTGATCAAGTGCGAAATCAAACTCCAGAATTTCTTTGTTAAGTTTCTGCCTAGATAATCTGACAAACACTGTTATTGGGGAGTTGCGTTTCCCTACTATTATTGCGTGGCTACTTGAGTCTTATTGTAGGTCTAGCAGTACTTGTTGTATAACTCTATGTTCCCCAAAGTTGGGTGCATCTATATTTAGGATAGTTAAGTCTTCTTGTTGAATTGAACTCTCTATCGTTATGCAATGCCTTTCTTTGTTTTATTTTACTATTAATGATTTAAAGTCCTTTTTTCTTAAAAGAGAAACAATTCCAGGTATGGTGGCTCATGCCAGCACTTTCAGACTGAGGCAGTAGGATTGCCTGAGACCAGGAGTTTGAGACCAGCCGAGGCAACATAACAACATTCTGTTTGTACAGATTCTTTTAAAGAAACTATACAGGTGTGGTAGTGTGCCCAACTGTGGTCATATTTACTCAGGAGACATAGGAGGCATGACTGCTTTACTTCAGAAATTTGAGGTTACAGTGAGCTGTGATTGCACCACTGCAATCTGTCCCAGGAGATAGAGTAAGATCCTGTGTATAAAATGAAAAAATAAAGAAAAATAAAATGATTTTAAGTTAAAAAATAATTCATAGATCTCCACTTCTTTAGGGTCACTTGAATATATATTTTTCTCGTTTCATTAGGCTATATTTCCTGGTTGCTTTTATGTACTGTGGTTTTGTTAAGGTTTTGGTCAATTAAGAAACCACTACCTATTTTATCCTTTATGAAAAAGCTTTGTACATGGGAAAATTGACAATATTCAGCCACACTAGTCATTCCGGGAGCTTCTCCAATCTGTTGTCAAAATGTGTCTTCTTTGTACTGTATGTATTTTCTTGTTAATAAGGTTTACCTCTCTTTCCTCTTAGGAGCCTTTAGTCTCTTCTCTTTGTCACTGTTGCAGGCACTACAGTCTCTTTGTTGTAAGAAATATTTATCTTTATTCTCAGTCGACCCAAGCTGTCATTTAAACTCTATCTCTATTCTGGTCAACACTAAATGTTAAAGGTATAAATCAATAAGTCAGAAGTTTGCATACACGTTTCACTCTGTTTTCTTTCCCGAGGGAGAATCATGGAATGGACAGAATTTTATCTAACTGCACTGTTCTTTAGTGCAGAAATGTAACCAAATTTTCTTTCTTCTAAATGTGGTTATGGTTGGCTTTTTTCTCATGAGGGGTGCTACAAACTCAACTGGCTTTGCTCACCCAATTGCAGTTAAGTTCATACATCCATTGAGAGAAACAGGATCTCAGGTTCTTCTTCAACTATCATTGTGTTCTCAGCTGGCCTCATTTTGTTCATTAGATTTATAAAATATATTTACCTTAATTTCATCACCGAATTTTTTAAAAAATTATTATTTTCCAGCTCTTTTAGCATTATATCCAACAAGACCCAGACAAAACAGTACATAGGAGCTTCTTTTCAAAAAGTAATATTGGGAAGATATGGGAGCTCTGGCCTTGAAAATTTACACTTAAGGAGAGTGGGAAATTGAAGGATAAGTGTAAAGGGTACAAAGGATGCTATGATGAATATACCAGATATAGAGCAACTACCTACAGCAAAAATGTCACTGCTAGAAGAGCTCAAAACCATAAAGTATTTTGGAAAAAGCATAATTAATGTTGATTCTTTTTTCTGAACTATATATTTGTATAATTACATATCAATAACAATTTTTGAAACATCATGTTTTTGAAACAAAATTTAGAAAATCGCAATAGTGGCCTAGGCCAGGAATATATCTTCTAATGCTATCCCTCCCATAGTCCCCCACTTCCTGACAGGCTCCAGTGTGTGGTGTTCCCCTTCCTGTGTCCCTGTGTTCTCTTTGTTTAACTCCCAACTATGAGAGAGAACATGTGATGTTTGCTTTTCTACTCTTGTGTTAGTTTGCTGAGAATGGTGGTTTCCAGCTTCATCCATGTCCCTGCAAAGGACATGAACTCATCCTTTTTATGACTGCATTGTATTCCATGATGTATACATGCCACATTTTCTTTATTCATTCTACCACTGATGGGCATTTGGTTTGGTTCAAAGTTTTTGCTCTTGTGCACAGTGCCATAATAAACATATGTTTGCATGTGTCTAAGTAGTAGAATAATTTATAATCATTTGGTTATATACCCAGTAATGGGATTGCTGGATCAAATGGTATTTCTCATTGTAGATCCTTGAGGAATTGCCATACTGTCTTCCACAATGGTTGAACTAATTTACACTCTCACCAACAGTGTAAAAGTGTTCCTATTTCTCCACATCCTCTCCAGCATCTGTTGTTTCCTGATTTTTCCAATGATCACCATTCTAACTGGAGTGAGATGGTTTCTCACTGTGTTTTTGATTTGCATTTATCTAATGACCAGTGATGATGAGTTTTTTTTTCATATGTTTGTTGGCTGCATAAATGTCTTCTTTTCAGAAGTGTCTGTTCATGTCCTTTGCCCATTTTTGATATGGTTGTTTGTTTTTTTCTTGTAAATTTGCTTAAGTTTTTTGTAGATTCTGCATATTAGCCCATTGTCAGATGGATAGATTGCATAAATTTTCTCCTTTCTGTGGGTTGCCTGTTCACTCTGATGATAGTTTCTTTTGTTGTGAAGAAGCTCTTTACTTTAATTACATCTCGTTTGTCAATTTTGGCTTTTGTTGCCATTGTTTTTGCTGTTTTATTCATGAAGTCTTTGCCCACGCCTATGTCCTGAATGGTAATGCCTTTGTTTTTTGGGGGGTTTTTATGGTTTTAAGTCTTACATTTAAGTCTTTAATCCATCTTCAGTTAATTTTTGTATAACTAGTAAGGAAGACGTCCAGTTTCATTTTTTTGCATATGGCTATCTAGTTTTCCCAACACCATTTATTAAATAAGGAATCCTTTCCCCATTACTTGTTTTTGTCAGGTTCATCAAAGATCAGATGGTTGTAGATGTTTGATGTTATTTCTGGGGCCTCTGTTCTGTTCCATTTGTCAATATATCTGTTTTGGTACCAGTACCATACTGTCTTGGTTACTGTGGCCTTTTAGTATAGTTTGAAGATAGCTAGTGTGATGCCTCCACTTTTGTTCTTTTTGCTTAGGATTGTCTTGTCTATGCAGGATCTTTTTTGATTCCATATGAAATTTAAAGTAGTTTTTTTTCTAATTATGTAAAGAAAGTCAGTGGGAGCTTGATGGGGATAACACTGAATTTATAAATTACTTTGGGCAGTATGGCCATTTTCACAATATTGATTCTTCCTATCCATGAGCACGGATTGTTTTTCATTTGTTTGTGTCCTCTCTTATTTCCTTGAGCAGTGGTTTGTAGATCTCCTTGAAGAAGTCCTTCCCATCCCTTTTAAGTTGGATTCCTAGGTATTTTATTCTCTTTGTAACAATTGTGAATGAGAGTTCATGCATGATTTGGCTCTCTGTTTGTCTATTATTGTGTATAGGAATTCTTGTGATTTTTGAACACTGATTTTGTATACTGAGACTTTTTTGAAGTTGCATATTGGTTTAAGGAGATTTTGGGCTGAGACGATGGGGTTTTCTAAATATACAATCATGTCAGCTGCAAACAGAGACAACTTGAGTTCCTCTTCCTATTTGATTACGCTTTGTTTCTTTCTCTTGACTGATTGCCCTGGCCAGAACTTCCAATACTATATTGAATAGGAGTGATGAGAGAGGGTATTCTTGTTTTGTGCAGATTTTCAAAAGGAATGTTTCAAGTTTTTTCCCATTCAGTATATTGGCTGTGCGTTTGTCATAAATAGCTCTTAGTATGTTGAGATAAGTTCCATGAATACATAATTCATTGAGAGTTTTTACCATGAAGAGGTGTTGAATTTTGCTGAAGGCCTTTTTTGCATCTATTGAGATAATCATGTGGTTTTTGTCATTAGTTCTGTTTATGTGATGGAATACATTTATTGATTTGCATATGTTGAACAAGCTTTGCATCCGAGGGATTAAGCTGACTAGATCGTGGTGGATAAGCTTTTTGATGTGCTGCTGGATTCGGTTTGCCAGTATTTTATTGAGGATTTTCGCATCGATATTCATCAGGGATACGGGCCTGAAATTTTCTTTTTCTGGTGTGTCTTTGCCAAGTTTTGGTTTCAGGATGATGCTGGATGCATAAAATGAGTTAAGGAGGAGTACCTCTTTTCTATTGTTTGAAATAGTTTCAGAAGGAATGGTACCAGCTCCTCTTTGTACCTTTGGTAGAATTCGGCTGTGAATCCTTCTGGTTCTGGACTTCTTTTGGTTGGTAGGCTATTAGTTACTGCCTCAATTTTAGAACTTGTTATTGGCATATTCAGGCATTCGACTTCTTACTGGTTTGGACTTGGGAGGGTATATGTGTCCAGGAATTTATCCATTTCGTCTAGATTTTCTAGTTAATTTGCAAAGAGTTTTTTATAATATTCTCTAATGGTAATTTTTATTTCTGTGGATCAATGGTTATATCCCCTTTATCATTTCCTATTGCATGTATTTGATTCTTCTCTTCTTCCTTATTACTCTGGCTAGCAGTTTATTTATTTCTTGATCTTTTCAAAAAAACAGCTCCTGGATTCGTTGATTTTTTGGACGGGCTTTTTGTGTGTCTATCTCCTTCAGTTCTGCTGTGATCTTAATTATTTCTTGTCTTCTGCTAGCTTTTGAATTTGTTTGCTCTTGCTTCCCTAGATTTTTAATTGTGATATTATGATGCCGATTTTAGACCTTTTCTGCTTTCTCTTGTGGGCATTTAGTGCCATAAATTTCCCTTTGCACACTACTTTAGCTGTGTCATATTTTAATTTTTAAGCCCTCAATCTTTCTTTTTCATCATGACAGTCTTGACTGTTTTATGTTTATGAAAACTGTAAAATTGTTTACACAGTTTTTACAAAGACTTTACCAAAAGATTTTATTGAGAATGTACAAACCTGTCAGTCAATTAGGGGAGAAGTTGCATTGTAGTAATAAATAGCCACAAAACAAAACCCTGAAGGACATCCAAACCAGAATAAAACAAAACATTTTAACAAAGAGAAAAAGAACAATCTCGCAACAAATATGTGCAGTTTATATCACAAAGATGTTCACATCTCCACTTTAAAGAGAGCTTTTAGAAGTTGATTTAAAATATGGGAAAAGACATTATCCCACACCACAGAAAAAATAAATTTAAGCAGCTCTTAACACATGAACGTATTATCAAGCTCAGATGGAATCAAAATTAAATATTTGACAACAGATTCTACAGTTTGAGAGAAATAGAAAAGTGTTTTTTTCTTTTCTCCAGGTCCACAAGTCTAGTTTCTTGGACTCTCTCACTATAATGGAGGTTGTCATCAGCTCCCCAAAATAAGGGAAGCACAGAGCAGATGGTGGCTGAAGGTGGGGAATCCTGTGAAATCATATTTAAGATCATAGCCCGTGGTCCATTGTATTGTAATCAGCTGGCTCAGGAAAGAAGATCTGGATCTCCTGAGCTCTACACCTACTGCAATGGATATGTCAGGAGTCCCGAGAACCTCTGGGGCCCAAACCCCTCCCACCAAAATATATCATCCAGTATTGAGGACTCTGACACCAAATTCTCACAGAGCATATGCTTATGCAATTTTACATTTAATTTCTCATTACATTACAATTGGGAAAATGAGGCCCCAAAAGAGGCAGGGACTGATCCAGATCTCAGGAGGTGGGCAGGCTCCAGAGCATTAGAGAGAGCTCCAGCTTCCTAGGCCTTGGCTCCATCCCACCTATCAGGTTTGCTTTGGAAGTTAGAGCCTGTAGCTTCACATTCAGGGGCACAGAGAATGAGCAGATCCAGGGTTCTGTTCACATGGGGACCTCTCCATGTCAATTTCAAGATGACAGGACTGGGGTTTTGCATCCAGCTCTGAGGGCACCTGGAAGTAAAATGAGCTATGCTCCACCTCAGCGTAATGTAGAGAATGCCTGCAGGAAAGCCTGTTTTCTTCCTCATAAATAGGGCTGTTTGAACTGGGTGACCTCGACGATTTCACATACTCATAAGTGTCTTCCAGCCCTGATTCTTGCTCTGAGACTGTGCAGAAATGCATCCACTCTCTGTAGGTCCTTCAAATCAGAGGGAGGCATGGCCACTTCAGAGGCATCTTGGGTAGATGAAGATGAGACGGAGCTAAATGTTCCAGAGCATTGGACTCTGAGGCTGAAGTCCACGGAAAATCCCAGCTCCTGTTGGGTTCTTAAGGTCCTCATTTGAAAGTGGTAGAAACTAATTTCACTGGATAAGGGGAGGATATCTCATGGATAAATAGCACAACCCAAAAGGTAGAGGCAAATAGAAGGCAAAGGGGGATTCCAAGGTCACTCATTGTACTTGGGGCCTTCAGATTCTGCTACTTTATCCCCTAGGACCTTGAAGAACCAGTGTCTTGAGGACAGAAAAATCAAGATACCTGATTTGTTCCATAGTGCTCCTGCATTGGGCCATAGAGTTAGTGATGGCCTGGAGGTGGTTACAGCCAGCTCTGTTTCTGGTGCCCACTGAGCTTTGCTGGAGCAGCTGGAACAAGTAAGAGTCACACATCTCATGTTGTTATCAATGATCTCCACATTATCAGGTGGTCAAAAGAGGAAGGGATATTAGAGATCCTCCATATAATCACTTAGCCAGTCTTTTTTCCCTTGCGCTCACCCTTTGCCAGCTAACCAGGTGGGTGCAACGTGGTACAGAAAATTATTACATGATGCCTGCACCCCCCAACCCAGGACCAAACATTCTGAGGACAGCTGGATAAAAGCACTAAAGCAAGTATATGTGAAAGAAAAGAGGAAGGACTATAATATAAAGTGGAATGTTGAGAAGAAAAGCTGGAAAATTATTGCATGGGAGGAACTAAGGCCTCATTGTGGTGATGTTTAATCCATGATAAGGATGACAACAGGGAGACATCTCTGCACAAGTATGTGTCAGGGAGAAGCCACCCTTAGTGAAGAGACTCATAGGTGTGAGTTCGGCAGAGGTTAGAAAGTTTGGCTGCAGACAGCCTGAGGAAGATATAAGTAGAGGGATGGAGAATCCTAGGGCCTGGGAGATGAGGTTAGATATCTGCTCCTTTCTGACAACATTGCCCTAAAAGTCAGCACTTTTCAACAACATATAATATCTCATAATTTATGTGGACCAGAATCTGGACACAGTTCAGTTGGGTACCTCTGCCTTTAGGTCTTTTATGACATTGGGACTGTGGTCTTAACTGAAGCTGGACTGGGAAAGCATGAGCCTTTAAGCTGACTCATGTGAAAATTGGCAGGGTTTAGTGTGGCTGGAGAGCCTGACTTTCCTTCTCTCTACTGGTCTGAGCACCCCCTCAGGCTCTGTTATGTTGGTCTTTACATGGAGCATCTCATAGCATTGAAGCTTGCTTCCTGTGTTTGAGGTATACAATAGAGAGAGAGAATTAGACAAAAAGGTGTACACAAAAAGAGACAGAGAAAGATTGAGGGCGCAAACAGGAAAAACCCAGTAGGAGAAAAATGAGAGCTTTAGAAAAATCTTGACAGGGTGCGGTGGCTCACACCTGTAATCCCAACACTTTGGGATGCTGAGACGGGTGGATCACCTGAGGTCAGGGGTTTGAAAGCAGCCTGGACAATATGGTGAAACCACCGTCTCTTCTAAAAGTACAAAATGAGCAAGGTGTGGTGGTGCATGCCTGTAATCCCAGCTACTTGGGAGACTGACGCAGGGGAATCATTTGAACCTGGGAGGCGAAGGTTCCAGCAAGCCGAGATCACACCACTGCACTCCTGCCTGGGATACAAGAGTGAAACTGTCTCAAAAAAAAAAAAAGGAAACAAAAATCTTGAGAGTTCCAATAATTTTTCTCCTGTATTTATGTTAAAATTGTAACCCCCGTTGTAATGCTATACGGATGAAAGATGTACTTAACTCCTGAGGGTGGGACCTTCATAATAGAGATTACTGGCTTTATACAAGGAACCGCAGAGGGCTCTCTTCCTCCTTCTGCAAAATGATGGTAAAACTTGAAGTCTGCAGTCTGAAATTCAGAAGCGAGTCATCACCAGAGCTCAACCGTGCTGACAACCTGATCTCAAATTTCGAACCTATAGAAGTATGAGAAATTAAGTCCTGTTGTCTATAAGCTGCTTATCTATGGTTCTTTGGCATAGCAGCCTGAACTAATACAAAAGTGATATCCTTTTCTGTATTTCATTGGACAGAAGCTGAATTTGTACCCCTATGCTGTTAAAAAAATGACTTAAAATGGATTTTCAGAATGAAAGATAGGAAATGGCTTGTTGAAACACTAAAATGTTATCTGCTTATAAGATTTTTAAACATTGGCTGAAATTGTTGGAACTGATATGGCCAAATGAAGTCCATGAAGAATCAGATTGCATATGTTAGAGCCCAAATTTCCATTGTGTGTTTCATACTAACTCTCCCTGAATTTGCATGTGACTTGAGAGGAAGCAAGAAGAGATGACAGTATATGTCTCATGACTTTCCATATTCCTACTTTCCTTCCAGCAATCCCTTACAGAACCCACCTCTTAGGCCTTTTCTAATCACTGCCTTAAAGCCAGTATAAGAAAACAAATTTCAGCTGGACTGCTATCTCCTTTTTGGCCAACCTACAACATGATATTTTCCTCAAAACCCAAGGGCCATATTACTGTCATCAGGCTGTAGGCCATTTTATTCAATAAAAAACTGAGTCACTAACCACCTAGTACTGTGAGATTTTGTGAAGAGTTTCCCTGTCATAGACGTGAGAAGGCACATGGATATGATTCTAAATATAAAGAGAAAGCACTAGAAAGTTGAATGGCTGTATTAGGACTTTGTCATACTGCAATGATGAAGTACTTGAGACTGGGTAATTGATAAAGAAAAGAAGTTTAATTGACTCACAGTTCCACATAATTGGGAGGGCACCTCAGAAACCTTCCAATTACAGTGGCTGACAAGTGAAGTGAGTGAGAGCATGGGATGTACCAGATGCTTATGAAACTATCAGATCTCATGAGAACTCACTATCACAAGAACAGCATGAGGAGAACCCATCCCCATAATCCAATCATCTCCCCTCAGGTTTCTCCCTTAACACCTGGGGGTTATAATACACAGAGAAGTTTGGGTGGAACACACAGCTAAACTATATGAATGCCAGAGGACAGTATCTACATTTAATTTCAACTTCATACTGGAGCAGAATGAAAATGAAGCGCAGTGGAGAAGTGACATTCCCAAGATCACCCTGCCAGACCCAGGCTTGTTTGAGTTGTGGCCCATGCTACCTTCTACATATTCTCCTAATGCTTCCATCTCTAAGTGTGTGCATTATCTACAGGTAACACCACATGATTTTTATGTTTTATCTTATATACATCTAATACAATCCCTAGGAAGTAGATGTTAGCATCATCCCCACTGTGCATGCTTGGAGGCTGGGGAAGCCTCAAATACACAGTGACTTTTATTGGGTCCCAGAGATGGTAAGAAAAACAAGGTTATGTTCCAGCTGTCTCTTATATCCTGGAACCCAGGCTGCATTTAGTTCTTTCCAGGGAATTAAGGGGAAGTTGTGTTTGCATACTTGTGTACAAATGAAGAGTTGACATGGAAGAGGAGACTGAGCAATTAGTAGCATAGTGGGGCTTTTGGGTAGGTCTTACAGAAAGAAGGGACCCAGTAGATGGAACCTTGAAGAGTTTAACACACTTTCTTGGTGACAACCCAACATCAGTTAAGAAACCAGGAACCCACATTCTTGAGACAGCTCTGTATCCACCTCTGTTAGTGAGAGATGCTCAAGAGAGTGAGATGTTCTTTCATTGTGCCCTGAAATTTCTGAGTTTTGACTTTACAAAGGCTCAGTGTAAAAGCCTTATCTGAAAACACGGATGTCAACTCAGGCCTCATCATTGATGCCCCTGGCTATTGGCCGGGTGCACCTACAAATAACACAGGGCAGCTCAGGACAGGCCCCAGAGCCAGGCCTCTCTTGTCAACTCATCTGGGAAGTCCCACACCATTTCTTAGTACCATGAGTTGTATGGGGAGCAAGAGGGAGGGCACTCTTCTTTTACTGAAGCAGATTGTCAGGTGTTGGAACCCTTGTGTACCTGTCATGTTCATACCTAGGCCATAGCTGGCAGAATAAAAAGAAGAGGGTTGGAGAACGAGTCTGTGTACTCAGATGTGAATTCCAAGACTTTAACTTGTCCTCTGGTTTCCTTCCTTGCTGGAGATTCATACAGATTCTCCTTATGTGCCTAATCTGAAGAGCAGAATTTCTTTTCTTTTCTTTTCTCTTTTATTTTCTTTCTTTCTTTCTTTCTTTCTTTCTTTCTTTCTTTCTTTCTTTCTTTCTTTCTTTCTTTTTCTTTCTTTCTTTCTTTCTTTCTTTCTTTCTTTCTTCTTTCTTTCTTTCTTTCTTCTTTCTTTCTTTCTTTCTTCTTTCTTTCTTTCTCTTTCTTTCTTTCTTTCTTCTTTTTTTCTCTTTCTTTCTTTCTTTTTCTTTCTTTCTTCTTCCTTACTTCCTTCTGTCTTTCTTTCTCTCTTTTTCTTTTTCTTTTTTCCTTTTTGAGGAAGCCTCGCTCTGTCACCCAGGCTGGAGTGCAGAGAAAAGCAGAATTTCTAGTGGAGGTGTCACATACGGTGAAAACAAGGCAGACCACTGACTTTTCTTTGCGTGGTTTCTAGGCACTTTTTACAGAGCTGCATTCAGATTGATGAGGAGCTTCTTGATGTGGCCAACTCCTCCCTCTTTTTGGAAAAAGACCAGGTGCACTAAGCCAGCAACCACAGCCAGCACCGGGCTGTGGTAAGAGCAGCCACATAGGGGTCTCTACAGACAGAAACCCGAGAAGACCGGGACAGACCCAGTACCCAGACTCCAGTATGAAAACTCTCTGGGCTGTGTCCTATGATCTTCCCATGAGTAACTCATAGTCTTGATCCAGTGGAATCTGGCCTTCATTAGTCTCAGTGGCAAGTTGGTTATGTGGAAAGTCTCTGTTCACTCACTTGGGTGAATAACAGTAAAGACCTTTCTATTGTTTTCACTTTACATTAGGCCATGAGTATTTGTGCCTGTAGCTGCAGTTTGTGTTAGTTTCCTACCCCAGGTATCTCCTGCAGCATGCAGCTTCAGTCCTACCAGACCCTCAAAACTTAAAAGCGAACACTATTTCTAGGGAGGATTTTGCAGGAAAATGGAGAAAGGGTTACACACAAAAAAGGTTAAACTACTCTATGCATGTTTCTGCAATGTGTTATCTCAAGAATTCATCTCTGTAGCCCATCAGGGCAGGAGCTGGTCTCTCACCTGTTGATAATATTCCATAAGGGAGGTTCTTCCCCACAGTGTTTAGTCTTCCGACGCTGGTATAGCCTGACATGATGACATTCTACTTTCATGTTGGTCATGCTGCAGGGAGAATTCTGTGAGTGTCCTAATAGGCTGGAATCACTTGCTAAGGTGAACCCCATCTTTGGTGCTCACTTTTCTGTTATCTTATAATTAGCTTTATTCTAAGCAAATCCATGTCTATTTTATTTATCTGTTTATTAACTTATTTTTATGTATGGAAAAACACATTTTTTTATTTGCTTATTTATTTAGAGACAGGGTCTCCCTCTGTCATCCAGGCTGGAATACAGTGGTAGATTGGAGTGATCATGGCTCATTGCAGCCTCAAACTCTTGAGCTCAAATGATTCTCTCACCTCAGCCTCCTGTGCCACCATGCCCTGCTAGTTGATTTTAATTTGTTATAAAGAAAGTGTCTCATTATGCTGCCCAGGCTGGTCTCAAACTCCTGGGCCCAAGCAATTCTCTCATCTCAGCCTCCCAAAGCACTAGGATTAAAAACATGAGCCACTGTACTGCGCTGTGCCTACTTCAAAGGACTGAAAATAAAAAATAAATAAATCTTTGCCAAATTAAAAAACAAAGCAATAGTTTCCAGGTCTTAGATAAAGACAATTCTCTGTCATGAAGAATGACAGAAGGCTTATTTAGCTGTTAAAATGATTTGCTTATATTTCAAAGAAGCAGAGAAAAAAAGGTACATGTAAAAGTGTTCCAGGCCACTCATGGTGGTTCATGCCTGTAATCTGAACATTTGGGGAGGCCAAGGCATGAGGATACCTTCAAGCCAAATGTTTGAGTCCAGTACAGGCAATATGGTGAAATTCTGTCACTACAAAAAAATAAAATAAATATGGCTGGGCATGTTGGCTCACACCTGTAATCCCAGCACTTTGGGAGTCTGAGGCAGGTGGATAATGAGGTCAGGGGGTGGAGACCAGCCTGGCCAAAATGGTAAAACCCATTCTCTACTAAAAATAATAATAACAAAAAATTAGCCAGACATGGTGGTGTGCGCCTGTAATCCCAGCTACTCAAAAGGCTGAGACAGGAGAATTGCTTGAATCTGGGAGGTGGAGGTTGCATTGAGACAAGATCATGGCACTACACTCCAGCCTAGCCCACAGAGCAAGACACTGTCTTGAAAAAAAATAAAAACAAAAATAAATAAAGCTAGCCAGGCATGGTGGTTCATGCCTATAGTCCTAGGTAATTAAGCGGTTGATGCAGGAGGACTGCTCAAACCCAAGAGGTTAAGGTTACCGTGAGCTATGATTATGCCGTTGCACTTCAGGCTAAGTAAAAGAGTAAGATTCTGCCTCAAAAAATTACTAATTAAAGTTTTCCAGATTACATTGTTTAAGAAAAAGGAAAAGAAAAAAATCTTTTTTTTATTTTCAAATGGGAGAATAGAGCCTCTCATTTCTAATTTGTATTGCCTTCTGCAAAAACTTAGTCTAGGCCCATGGTCTTGAACTACTGGACATCTGAATTTTGGTAGGTGCTGGATTCAGGCAACTGAGGGGTGGCCTTGGGCACACTGTGTGCACATAAAAGAAAGGGTTTGAGGTGAACTAAAAGGTAAAAGAGGGGAAGGTGCTATTAAGAAACCAGAAGTGAGAGACTGTACAGGGTTGGTGGGAGGACTGGTTCATGCTACAGACACTGACCCAGGTGAAACTTTTCTCTGAGTTATTTCTATGTTCATGCAGGAAGACGAGATTATGATCAGGTGGCACAGAAATCTGCGATGGTGAAAAAACCAGGTTGCCACTGCAGATTCGGTGTCTGAAGTAGAACATATGCCAGGGGTCTTGTAGGCACGTGTGTGGGTTTTTGGTGGGAAAGTCTATGAGGAAAGGTAGGATGGGCAACAATCTTGATGCCAAAGCCTTGTCCTGAGAGGGGCTTGACCACGTCAACATGCAGTGTGTATGTTCAGTGGGTGAAAAACATGTGGTGGCCTCAGGTTGGCAGGAGGGTAGAAGGCATCTGTTCTCAGAACTTCTTCCCTCAGAGTCGTCGGTCCTTCTTACCATGGGAGGATGCCTGGAACCACAGGGCAGTGCATGGCGTAGCAGCCTGTGTGCAGAGCAGAGCCTACCTTCCCCGAGACACCTGGAGTCTCTCTCCAGCAAAGGCCCCCACATTGTCTTTCTCCTTACAACACTTTTGATCCTAAATGTGTAAAGTTCCCTGAAAACCCACTGCTTCTCCAACACCCATTTCTTGCCCCAAAATTTAATTCTGACACAACTTAGAGTTCGCACAGATCCCACAAATTCAGGGCTAAGTCCCACATCACCCCTCTCACTGCAGAGGTTAGTCACATGTCCCATAAGCCCATCTATACTTCTGAGCTACTGCCTATAAATCTGAGACTCCCATAAACCCCTTTTCAAGTTAAATAATTTGATAGAGTTACTCAAAAAAACTCAACAAATAAGTCTAATTATATTTACCACTTTATTATAAAAATACAACTCAGAAACTGACAAATGAAAGAGATGTCTAGGAAAAGGAACAGTTGTGGGTGAAGGTAATCCTGGAAATAGCTATATTTAAAGAAATTCCCCCATTCTTTGTGTTCTCAAAGAACAGCTTAGTGAAGAGAAACGTGCTTCCCATTATGACTTTGTGGATGTTCCCCCCCCCCTTTTTTTTAACCTATCACAAAGACGGACACAGATTACAAATTCCTATTTTTAAAAATGAACAACCATTCTGTAATTTAGTCTTCAGTGGTCAAAACAGAGTACTTGTTAACAAAACTTTGCTTGTTCCCCTTCTTCCCTCAGCCCCTGAACTTTGACTCACCCACAGCCTCAGAGAACCTACAACCCATATTTATACATATCCCTCCTAAGAACAGGCTGACTTCAAGATGAAACATTATCTTATCTGGGATCTGATTTTGCTACCCTCCATCCTGTGCTTCCTTTCCAACCTTCTTTGTAAACTTATTTTCTCCTCCCTATGAAATAAAACCCTTTTCCACCTAACCTTTGAGATCCTCAAAGATCTAATCATTTGTACTTTTTCCTTGTTACAACACTTCTTAAGTAACTTCTTAGACAAAGTCTATAAACAGTCTCAGGACAATAAAAACTCCATTCTAGAAAGAATATCCCAACTTTTCTTCAATCTCAACCCCAACTGCATCTGCCTGTCAACTTCCAGCTTACCAAAGCTCTGTATCTTCTGACAGTGACAAAGGCTCCTTCTATGGTTGGTGTGAGCAGACTTTGATGTCTGCAGGGCAGACACCCAGGAATAATCAACTGGGCCTTCAGTGGCCCCCTTTTGCAGGGTCAACGTTAGCCTTAGCTTTTAGTCAACGGTCTAAGACTTCTACTTACCAGTTAAAGTCATTCAATTAGTTTTCAATTTAAAAAATACTTCATGTTTGAAGAATCCAGCAAAAATCATTCAAATCTAAGGTTTAAAAGAGAGGAAATTATGGTCGGGCATGGTGGCTCATGCCTGTAATCCCTGCATTTTGGGAGGCTGAGGCGGGCAGATTACCTGAGGTCAGGAGTTCGAGACCAGCCTCACTAACATGAAGAAACACAGTCTCTACTAAAAATACAAACTTAAACGGGGGTGGTCGTGTATTCCTGTAATCTCAGTTACTTGGGAGGCCGAGGCAGGAGAATTGCTTGAACCCGGGAGGTGGAGGTTACAGCGAGCCAATATCGTGCCATTGCACTCCAGACTGGGCAACAAGAGTGACACTAAGTCTAAAAAATAAAATTAAAATTAAAAAAGAAAGTTATAAGGGGCTTACATTTTATAACTCAACAAGAAAAGCCAAAGTATCTATCCCTTTCAGAAAATAAACATGTAATTTAATTATGTTCATAACAAATCATTTAGTAAACAATCATATGTGAACACTTCCAGGCGGTGCCAAGTCCCAGCTCCTAAAACTTAGCGTTACCCTCAAACACCCAGATGACAGCATATGGAACAGAGATACTCACTATCAGAAGTTCTCTGTTTTGAAAAAAGAATAACTGATGTGATAAATTTATGTAATTTAACAATTAATCTACCTCACGTGCTTGTAGGTATGTATTCATTTCCTACCACCGTAGTGGAAGAGAGACTATCCCTATCAATACACCTGGTAACATTCCCAACAGTAAGCCGTGAGATTCTGCTTGAAATCACCTCTCAGACAAATAAAAAACAGTCCTGGGAAATGTACGACACTCATTCTGCTAAAGAAATAGGCAAGTAACAATTTTTAACAAGTGAAATATATTACTACTTAATTTTATTCAAAATTCACCAACTTAATGTGCTTTATAAATATTTTCATGCCTTTCAAGCTCTACTGATAAAACATAGTTTACAGTTAATTAAAAAGTGAAGTTAAAGTAAGTACAAAAACATTTTCAAGGTGACAAAATTAGAAGGTGACAGTGCCGATTGAAACACAGACATATCAGACCCAAGGGTCAAGTCAAGCCATTCTATTACTTGGGATATTTTCCCCACTCACATCTGGTTCAGTGAAGTGGGTCATGACCATCCTACCAGGAGCCGCTACCCTGTGCTCCTCTGTGTCCCTGAGGTGCATTTTACTTTGCAGGTTTTTGCACTGCCTCACTAGGTTGGGTTTCTTTGTCCTTTGAAATATTTTCTCTCCCTTCACCAATCTGAGAACATTTTTTCCTCAATATCAGCATCCATTTGCCTGGCCTGCAATGTGTCTCTAAGGAATGGAAACTAAGCTTTGGGGTAAGAAAATCTTAATGACCTAATGGGTTTGCTTTTAGCGCAAGGGTATACCTAGAGATTCCTTCCAGGCACATCTCAAACAACCACTCCACAGAGAGGCTGCATTCCCATACCTTGGGCTGTTCCCTGAGAGGAGATGACACAAGGGATGCTATTTACTAGACACTTCAAGAGTCATGGCCACTGTTGGCATCTTGGGGAATCCTCAAACAGTTTTGAAATTCAAAACCAAGAAAATAACAGGATGGCTGAGGATGTATTGCCCTGTGAAGTTTCCAAAATGAAACCTGAACCCAAAGGCTTTCTGATGGGGTGTCTGTGCCAAGAGAAGTTTAAACAAAGGGGCACAAAGGTTTTCCGCTTTTTATTTATTTTTTTTACAGTGGGGTGTCAGGGGATTATTCTCTGCTTTCATCTCCTGTAAAATGTTTACAAATGAGAAAAAATTTTTTTAAATGACATCCACTGCTTTTTGACAAAAAGAAGAATTGAAATACTGTGTCTGAAATATACAATAAAGAACAGTTGATAATGTTGTGAATTATGGAAGGTTAGTTAGTGTTGGTGAGTGTCAGGAAAGAACTGGAAATTTAAAATCTGATTGCAAGCCAGAGTTAGGCTGGGGCAACAGGGAGTTAGATTTGAGTCTCTGCCTGCCACACATTTGGAAAATGCATGAGAAAACTAGTTCCCTTTTGGAGTGTTAAAATAACTAAAAAACAGGTGATTATGTTGAGGTGGCTCTAGTGTCCTGAGCTCTGAGTGGAGAGACAGGCCAAGGCCTCCGTACTTCCAAAAAGCTGCCCATTCTTCTCCAGCTGTGCACCTGATTAGATAGTTTCCACTCCAAGACCCATGATTGGATGTAGTTCAATTCCCTACCCTGCCGCCTCAGACCATGAGTGACATATGTGATTTGACACTGGGTTGAATAAAGCAAGAATTATAGGTTTTTCCTGGATCCTTTTCTGGCAGGGCTTCCTCTGTGAACTAGAAACTGGCCCTGCCTGTAAAATATTTGCATTTACATTTGTATGTAAGATTATTTGTATTAATGAATAATATATATGTGTTATTCATATATGGAATCAATATAATGACAATTGTTTTAAAATTTCAGATGTTTTACTTTCCTGGCACATCCAGGTTTTAGAGCAGGCAGCCTGAGATTTCAAAAGGGAGGCAATTCTCTAAGAAATAATATGAGAGGCACAAGTGAATTTTAAATATTCTGGTAACTACTTTTTAATAAATATACCGGGCATGCTTCCCTGTGCCTGTAGGTCGAACTATTAGGGAGACTGAGGTGGGAGGATCACTTGAGACCAGGAGTTTGAGACCAGCCCAGGCAGCATAGAGAAAGCCATCTCTACAAAAAAAAAAAAAAAAAAAAAAAAAAAAATTTGAAAAATTAGCCAGGCCTGGTGGTGCATGACTTCAGTCCCAGCTACTCAGAAGGCTGGAGCTGGAGGATCACCTGAGCCTGGGAGGTCAAGGCTGCAATGAACCATGATCACACAACTGTACTCCAGCCTGGCTGACAGAGCAAAACCCTGTCTCAAAAAACTGATCTCTGGAAAGGCAATTTGTTTTTCTGCAATGTAGCCAAGCAGCTAAGTATGTATTGAAGCCATCCTTTAATTTTTAACAGGGCAAGAAAGCTTTCTAAGACCCCGAACTCCAGATATGCGATGGGGCAAATCCTGAAGCGTACATGGCTATCTCTCACAGCTAAAGCATCCCTCACCCCTATCCAGCGCTTCTTACCCCTGGCGCAAGAGAATCACCTGCGGGGAGGAAAACTTTCAAAATCCCTTAAACCCAAGTTGTAACCGCACAACTAAATCAGAATCCTTGGAGCTGGATCTGAAAAAAATATGGTTGAAAGTCGTGCAGGTGATTACAATGTGTAGGCAAGCCAGAAAACCATGGCTTTAACGAGCAGCTTTTGTTAGAAATGATTTCTCCAATGAATGTGAAAACGTTTGCTGCTGAATTGTGACCTTTCCATTTTACCTGCTTTTCCTGCAAAGTATATTTTGCAGACCCAGGCTGGCTTCTCCTTCTGTTCCTGGTTCACCCAGTGCCGTGTGTGCTCAGTGCATCCTGTGCACGGGTCACTGTGTGCCCTGGCCTGGGTGAGCATCATTCTTCGGGGAGAACCTTGATGAAAACAAAGCTGCATTCCAAAAAGTTAAAACCATGCTACTTACTGTGTTGAAGTAAAAATTAAAAGACCCAGGGGGGCTCACCCAAAAGTTAAAACATAAATAAATAACTTGGAACATTAACATACACCTGATGATGTCCTGAGTGAACACGCCCCACTTGAAAACAAAACAAAACATTGCTATTATTCTAAAATATTAATTTAGGATTGTTATGCAAACATGCACTCTTTACATTTTTATTGATAAATAACATGCATACAGCAATATAGGCACAAAGCATTTAGGGAATGTTTGATGAATTATTACTAAATAAATACACTTGTGTATCTAAGAATCAGATTTGTTCATGCCCCTGACACTTTCCCCTTCCCAAAGGTAACCAAGACCTTAAGAGCTAAGTGTAGATAAACTTTGTCATTTTGTACAAGTGTTTTATTACAGATCACTAAAAACATACACAATACAAAAAAAGTATAACAGACCAGTCACCCAGCTTTAACAGCTGCTAGTCATGTGTCATTTTTGTTTTATCTATACTTCCAGCCATGCCCCCACCCCCAATTTCATTATTTTTTAGGCTTTTTGGATAAAATGTATATTCATTGCAAGGTACAATGCGAACTGTAAATAGTAGAGAGATGGGGTTTTACCATGTTGGTCAGGCTGTTCTTGAACTCCTGACCTCAGGTGATCCACTCTCTTCCACCTCGCAAAGTGCTGGGATTACAGGCGTGAGCCAATATACTCGGCCTGAGAATTCATATTTCTAATAAAGTACAAATCCATAGGGCACATGACAACTGCAATGTCTATCTACAGTAAAAACAGTTTGATGAATAAAATGAAAGGCAATTGACTTAAGGTGGGAAAAAAACAATCAAAGCATGGGTACTATGTGCCATCTGTAGGAGCATTTGGTTAAGAATAACAAACAAACCAGTTTTATTGTTTTAATAACCGAAATTGGCAAAATTTCTAGTTTTTCTTTCATAGGAATGCTCTTAGCAAGAAAAAATTTTCATATGGTGAGAGCAAAAATGACAACCATTTGCAAGTAAATGTCTTATGAAATTAAGTAGCAGATATCAAGCTCATGACCTTCAGATTGTTACCCCTAACTCAATCATTTACATAGCAAGTGCAGATAATTTTCATAGTTCCCCATTAAAATTATACTTTACTCCCCTTACAAATTGTGACTGTTTTTAAATAAAGTTCACTAACTAAAATTTTGTATATGACATATGATAAATTTCCCTTCAAGTCACCTTATATTTACTTAATTGTGTTAGCCAGTGTCTGTCTACCTCCCAACAATACTTTGGGATTCTCCCTCCATTTGCACAGGCATCATAGCTGGGGAACAGGGATTCAAAAGACCCAGGCTGTTCCCTACATATGTTTCCTCCTCAGACATCAGTTAATCAGTCAATCAAGTCAAGTGAGAGTGGAGGCCATGTATTCCCTCTTATTCTTGGGCACTCTCCTCCAAGGAGGAAAAGGCCAGGAGGTCCTGTTAGAGGATGCACTCTGAGAGCCCGGGCTCCCTAAGGTATGAGAGTTCTAACCAGCAGGTGTAGACTTTTCAGGAGTGAGGAATGAGGCAGGCATTCCAAACCTGGAGCTTCATCACCTTTTGTTTCATCTCAAGACAATTCTGAGGGGCTGTTTTGGAGCGTGTCTGGAAGGTGAACGTTGAAGAAGAGTGTGGGCTTTGATGTGACTCAGATGAGATCTTTCATGGGGAGGCAGGAATTCAATGCCCAGAATCTGGGCTGGTGTCTTTGAGGTCAGTAGGTTGCCTCTTTGTATCCAAGTCCATTGTTACTAAATTGGAGGCTGGAGATTCTAAATGGCTTCCAGACCATCTCTCTGATTCTCTTTGGGAGATTGGGTCTGAAAAAGACAATGTCAGTATTTTTGGGAAATTCTAGAAAGTCTGCTTGGAAACCTGGGAAGACCTCTTGCCTAGTGCCTAAATATTCAATGTGCAGCTCTAGCCATGTAGATGCTTGGTAGGTATAGAGCTGGGTTTTCATTTATATCAGCAAAACCTATGTCAGAGTTGAAGAAGTAGTCAAGACAAAGTGTCTTGGTCGCAGGCCGGGGAACATCTTAAAAGCAAACTTCTAGCCTGATGACTCTTGGCAATGAGTGTTGGGTCCTGGCTAAAGTGCCTTGAATGCAGCATGAGGCCAATCCATGAATCCAACTTCCAATGGAGAAATGTTAATATTTTTTCAGTTTGAATCAATCAGGGTGAAATTACCTTGCTATTGGTTTGCTTACTTTTTATTATTTCATATAAAATCTAAGACAAAATACATTAAATGCTTATTGATATATGTATTTATTCTTCACCTGGCTCATAATATTTGCCTAATTTTAAACTTTCTTCTATTTTGTAGGTTTCAACTTATTTCATTGTAAGATATTGTTAAATCTAATACGGGCATTGTCACTTTTACAAATAATTTTATTTTATTTCATGTATTTCCTATTCACTTTTTACATTTAAATTATGGACCATTTCATCATATAAAAAGCTCCATTTCTATTTTAAAAATAAGTCTTTGGGTTTTTTTGTCTTGTAATTTCCATATTACATAGTAATGAGATAAACGTTAATGTTTTCAGGGTATTTTAAATTTTAAATAATTACTCATTATATCCACGTGAAATTTGTTTTTACTGCATGTGTGAGTTGGAGAACCGTTTTCACTTCTGACTCATCTTTACTGTGATCTCCTCAGAACTCATACCTCTTGTAGTTGGGAGATTGCAGTATATAATTCCAATAAATGGGGCAAATTCAATAATAACATAATACAAATGAGTTTGAAAGCAGGACATGTCTTCAAAGCATACACAACATGGGCCTATATATGTACAACAATAATAATTTATAAGTTACAGTTTGGATGGGAATTAAAAGTACAGAAAATTTGTTAAAATAAATTAAAATGGAGATCACGTCTCAATAATCTCTGAGCAGACGAAATTAGTTAGGTCTCATAAGTGATCTCAACCTTGCTTGATTTGCAAATACAAGCAAAACTTAAATATTTCTTGTAGCTGCCTATTTAAAAAAGAGAAATGAAGCTCAACCAATCAGGAGTAGCCAACATCCTTATATAAATAGAAACTGTCCAACAAGATAAACAGACGAACAAAAAACAATAAAAAAGTTGTGCTACCACCAATCAAATGATTTTTTTGTTTCTACATTTTTTCAATAAATACTTGCTTCTTACTCTGTCAGAGAAGCACTAAATAACTTTTGGTCTGATATTTTATAATTTATCAATTGCTCTTACTCAAATAGACACTTGGCAATTTCATTGTGTCTCAAATTACTTTTTAGCAGAATAAAATAAACTAGGAATAAACATTACAAAAATGTGTACAGAATATGAGAAAAACATAGAAAGTTTATGAAATATATGAATGTAGACATAAGCAAATAGACAATTTGTATCATATTCTTAGGCAGCAAATCTCAATATTATCAACATCAATTGTCCTTAAGTTTATTTATAAATTCAATTTTGTTCCTATACAGATACCATTAAATATTGGAAGTACACGTTACTATAAAATATTATATAGATGAAAACACACATAAGAATAGACAAGAAAACTCTGAAAAAAAAGCAAAAAACAAGACTGGCAAGCTCTGTGAAAAATCTTGATTGATTAAAAACTCATATGTCACTGAAACTAAAAATTCAGAAATAGACCAAAGTGCCTAAGAAAGTGTCATAGTGCATCCAGGCTGCTATAACAAAATACCTCAGACTGGGTAAAGGATAAACAACAGAAATGTATTTTTCACAGTTATGGAGTCTGGAAAGTGCAAGATCAAGGCAGCAGAAAATTTAGTATATGTTGAGAGCCCTGTTCCCCATAGATGGTACCATCTTGCACACGGGACAAGGGCATTGCCTTCAACTTCCCTTGAAAGAGCACTGATTCCATTCATGAAGATGAAGAACTCTTGGCCTCACCACTTCCCCAAAGGCCACACGCCTAAAATTATCCACATAGGAATTTGCAAAGGGACATAAACATTCAGGCCATCGCAACAAAAACTACATGGGGGATGGCATCATTAATACTTGAGGTGTAAAAATGTGATGTTCTTATCGCAAAGGAAATAAATGATTTATTCTTCATGGCATATAACAAAATAAAGGTCCAAAGAAAATATTTTTTATGAAGATAAATCTATATGGTAAAAAACTAAGTGTTGATAAGGTTAACCCTACAGGTTGCATCAGGATTTTCAAGGTTTCTGGTGATGAGCAAGGCCCCAGAGTTTCCTCCTGTGACATTTACCTGGAAGTTGCTCATGCTGTTATTCAATTTGAAAGTAGATAATATTGTTTGTTTCTGTTCCAATATTTACTAAATTCAAAATAATATAGGGCTCTTTATGCGTAATTGTCAAACAGTCATTCAGTCAATGGTCCTCTGCTGAGGAAGAGCACAGATACATCCAAACACATATGATGTTCCTCAAATAGAGGACTTCTCCCTGTGCGGGAGTCACCTATGTTGCACTTGATCAGAGGCTTTCCCAGGCGAGCATTTCTCTGCAGCCCTACCACAGACTTAACCCTGGAAATCTGACTCAGAAGGTGATAGATGAACACCCAACCTAGCATTCTAATCTAATGGATCCTCTCTTAATAATCCCTTCCAGGGATCTGGGAGCTTTCCTGGATTCGTCTGCCACACACAGCTAGGCTAAAACATTTGGATAGAAGCTTTGATCCTCACTGGCCCTCCTGCCCTGTTCTACCAGCTTCTCTAGAAGTATGCTTCTCTAATTGATCCTGAGAGACCCATCTAAGGCTATCTCTCTGTGCCAATATAATTGATCTCATAAAGTGGGAAGAGAAACAGGCAAGAGTCCAGCTATGCTAGAAGCTGTGTCTAGGGTTCCTTATCTGCTTTATGTCTCTGATTTACCTAAATATTGACAAATACAGATTAATCTCTAGGTAGTAGAAAAACAGAAGGAGAAATCGCAGTTCACAGAAGAAGAAGAAAATGCAATCAGTAATTCCTAGAGTCCCGCTTAAGCTCAGCCACAGGGTACTAAGTCTCTTCAGGAAAAAGCAATGGTTGTCCATCATCTGAAAAACTGTGGCGTTGAACCATGGGCACCGAGAGTGCACACTGCCCACTAGAGTTCCATGCCTACATCACAGAGAGATAGAATAGTCTCAAAGGATTCTTAAGAGTAACGTGGAGACCAAAAGGAGCTGAATCCACAGCCTCTGTCTTACCGTCTGTTCTAATAGTATTTCCAGACTCTTTTGTGGGCTGCACCAGGGGTTATTCAGAAAGAAAAAAAGTTGTTAATGTCCCACCATTCCCCGTAGCTTCCGAGGTCTAAGTTGTTCATTTCCCACGTTCCAGGTTGTTGTTCTCCCTCTATCTCCACAGAATCAGTGTGTCTCATTCCGATATCTATAATCTCACCTTTATTCTAGTCGCCCTTTACTTTTTTCTAGACATTTTGTGTAGTAGAGCCAGGTAAAACAGATACAAGAATATTTACATAAAACTTAACCAGAACTAAGTTGGAGTCCCATAACTGCTGCTAGGCTGGGATGCAACTCAGAGGATACAAAAGCCAGGCTGGTCTAGAATTGCAGGTATGGGAAAGAAAGACATTTCACCCAGGAATTATTAGCACGAAATTCCAAATTTGTGAAATAGATTCCTAGATCCCCCAAACATTTCATCCTTATCTTGGAGGCAATCTGGAAGAGATAATCCCCTTTCAGAGAAAAGCATACCTAATCAACGAATTATCTAACCAACATGTGTGGAAAAGGAGGGAACATCGTAGAGTTGGCCCATTTTAGTCGATGTGGTGAAAAATGCCACGAAGTCAGAGCTCAATTGGCCTCAAAAGCCTAAAAGGTGGCACAGATTAGCTTCAAGGGACACATGGTATGGCTGGAGTCAGATGACTGTTATGCTGAAGAAGTCAACAGTGGTTACTGATATCTCAAGAAGTGGGCTAAAAGTCCACTTCTGGTTACTCTGCTAGGTATGGTCTAGGAATTCTTCAACCATGAGACAGATAGGTCAACTTTCACCAGCAACCCCAAGTCTGGTTTGCAGTATTAGACTCTGGGTTGGACACAGATTTAGGTTCAATCTGCAGCTTGATTGTGGTCACTCTCTGGAAAACACTTACCATGGACTTCTAGATGAGTGACCCAGTTAGATCAGCATCTGGGGTTGTTTCCGGTTTGCAGCCCAAAAGATATTCAGACAGTCTACACTTTCCATTGTAGATAACCAAACAGATAGAATATGTGCCATTATCCCAAACCCTGAGTTCTGACCTTTGAGAGGAGCAACCACTCATGTCAGGTTCTGTATGGCTGGCACAGGTTAAACAGCCACAGCGGCCCAGTGGACATCATGAGGTTTCACCTTCCCTGACTCATCTATGAACCAGGACCAGTCATATAGGAAACACTCAGTAAATTGGGGGCCCCACAGAGACAGCAGCTTTGCTTCAGAGGATAGAAGGAGGCACAAAATTTCAACCAGCTGGGGATGCCCTAGCCCTCTATAGGTCAAACTTAGTTTGTCAGGAGTTCTGTAGCAAGCTCTTAGCTGACTTTCAAATCAGTGTAACCAGTAGTAGTGTCAAGATAGCTCTGAGTCCAAAAGGCCAAAGAACACCTCTAGGTGGAAGCTAATCCTTTACTGGAGGCTCCAAATTTTAAAATCAAGATTTTCTTGACCTCAGGATGAACTGATCAATGCAAATCTCCCCAAATATTTTCACTAATCCTTAATTGGAAAGTAAGACTCCAGATTTTTTAACCTTCACTAAAAATAAATATCTGATTTTTTTTCACCTGGGATCTATGTATGTGTGTTGGAGCATGCCTTTACTAATCAGCATAAAGTTACAACTCTCCTTGTGCCTCTATTTTCTACTTGTGCAGAGTTTAAAGTACACAGGTGACAGCTTAGGGTTTTCTGGGTCTTTTGCTAAGCATGTACCTGACCCTGAGCATCCCCATTTCCCCATTTCTTTGTTGATCTCAAAGACCATTATCACAGTCCTAATTCCCAGGAGCTTTTCCTCCTAGAGCTTTTTGGCATGATTATTCTTAGACCCAACTGATATCCTTTGTTCCTGGTGAACTGGTAGCTTATTTCCATTTAAATGCTTTTACAAACATTAAGCTATTGATTTAAGATTTCTGTGCTTTTTAAATTAAGTAATGCTACTGTTAGCTTTCCACAGCAATTCAGGGTTATAAAAAAGGGAAGAAAATAATTATTTTATACCAATAGTAGGAAAAAGAGACTGGGGATGACTATATTAATAGCAGACAAAATAGACTTAAAAAGTTACAAGAGACAATAAGACATTATATAATCATAGAACGTGCATTTGGCAAGAAGATAGAAATAGTTTAAACACTTACATACCTAATAATAAGACATTTAGATATAGAAAGACTAAGTTGACAGAATTAAAGGGACAAATAGACAGTTCTAAAATAATAGTTGAAGATGTTAATACTCCACTCTGAGTAATGAATAGAAAAATGAGATGAATGACAAATTAGGAAATAGAGGACTTGACTAACTCAATGAACTAAATTGATCTAACAGATATATACAATATACTCCATCCAACAAAACAGAGTACACACTCTTCTCAAATGCACATGGGGAATTCTCCAGGATGGGCTGTATAGTAGATCTCAAATTAAATCAATAACAGATGAAATGCTAGAAAGTTTACAAAATTGTATAAATTAAACAACTACACAATTACAACTTAAAGAATTACAAAATTGTATAAATTAAGTAAAGGAAGAAATCACGGAAGAAGTAGGAACATACAGAGGAAGAAAAATGGAAACAAAACATATCAAAAGTTATGGGAAACAGCAAAAACAGTGTTAAGATGAAAAGTTTGCAGCTAAGATACATTTAAAAAGAGCAAAGATTTCAAATAAATAATAACTTTATCACCTAGTAAATTAGAAAAATAACACCAAATTAGATGCAAAGCAAAGAGAAAGAAGAAAGTATTGAAGATTTTAGCAGAGATAAATGCAATAGAGATTACACAAACAACAGAATTCCAAAAAACCAAAAGTTCACTCTCATTTCTTCAAAAAATTAACAATTGGCAAAACTTCAGCTACACACACGAAAAATTAACAGCATATTCACATACTAAAATGAGTAATGAAAGTGGGACATTACTACTAATTCAAAGAAATAAAATGTTTAAAAAAGTGTACTGTGAACTATGATAGGATGATAAATTGGAAAACCTAGATAAAGTGGGCAGATTCCTACTTATGCAAGACTTGATTACAAAGAAATACAAAATCTGAATAGATAGAAAACTACTAAGGAAATGGAATCAGTAATTAAAAACCTCTCATGAAGAAAAGCCCTTGTTTTGTTGGCTTCACTGGTGATGTAGATCAAGCATTTATAGAACAAAAATCCTTTCCAAAATCTACCAAAAGCCTGAAGAGAGCAGTTCCAAACTTATTCCATGATGCCAGCATTAGCTCATACCAAAGCCAGACAAAGAGACTACAAAAACCCATAGACTAATATCCCTTATGAACACGGATGCAAAACTACTCAGCAACATCCTAGCTAACCACATTCAGCAGCATACTAGCAAGATTACACCCCATGACCAAGGGGAATTTATTACTGGAATGTAAGGAAGATTTAGTGTATGGCTGGTTTCAGTGCAATGGTGTTTACAACTAATTGATCACAACCAGAATAGATTTCTTTATTCTTTTTCCAGTCTCACTGGTTCACTTAGCTAGCCTTTCTTAACAAAAGTTTTAGCATATGAAAAATAATCAATGCATATGACACATTAACAAAATTTTTAGAAAACATTATCTCATTAATACAGAAAATGTATTTTACAAAATTCAAAATATTTTATAATAAAAACAATAAATTACGAATAAAAGAAAACCATCTTTGTAAAATTCACGTATAAAAACCCACAGCAAACTACATGTTCTAGAGGAAAAGACCAAAATTATTTCGTCTAAGCTCAGAAGACAGAATGTCTGCTCTTGCCAGCCACTTTTATTCAACACTGTATTAGAAGTTTCATTCAGAGAAATTAAAAAAGACAATGAAATAAACTTCATCAAAGTGTGTACAGAAAATATATTCTTTTATGTAGAAAATCTTAAAGATTCCACACAAAAAATATTAAAATTAATAAATTCAGCAGAGTAGTAGCATACAAAATCAACATAGAAAAATAAACTGTATTTTATGTAGTAATACGAATGATCTGAGAAGAAAATTATGAAAATAACTCAATTTACAATAGCATCAAAAGAATAAAATTAGGAAGTAACCAAGAAGCAAAATGCCAATTATTTTGTGTAGATATTAAAAAATCAATTTTTAAGTTTATGAGGAATCTCAAGGGAACCTAAATTGCAAAAATAATTTTGAAAAAAAAATACCAAAGTTAGAGAAGTCACACTTAATGATTTCAAAACTTACTACAAAATTCCAAAATAGCATGCTACAAATAGACTAATGGAGTAATATAGAAAGCCAATATAAATAAACCCTCATATATATGGTCAAATGATTTTTATGGGAAATGAACTGCCTTTACAACAGTTAGTGCTGGGGAAATTGGGTACCTACATGTAAAAGAGTGAAACTGTTCCCTTAACTTATACCATAAGAAAAAATTAACTAACTCGACAAAAACCTAAATGTAAGAGCTAAAACTACAAAATTCTTAGTATAAAATGTAGGTAAAACATGTCATAACGCTGGATTTCGCAGTGATTTTTTTTAACAGGACACAAAAAATGCAAGAAACAAAAGAAAAATAAAGAGGACTCTATCCAGAATATACAAAGAACAATTCAGCAATAATAAAACAAAATACTTGTTTAAAATATGGGCAAAATACTTAGACATTTCTTTAAAAATTATGTGAAATGGCTAATAAGTCCATGAAAAGGTGCTCAACAAAACTAATCATTAGTAAAATGCAAATATAACTCCAAATGATATATCACTTAATACACATCAGCATAGTTACTACCAAAAGAAACAAAACAAAACAGAAAATCACAAGTGTTGGTGAGGACGTGGAGCAATTAGAACCCTTGTACACTGTTGTTGGAAATGTAAAATGTTGCAGCTGCTATAAAATAACAGTATAATAACTAAAAAATGTACACCAAAAGTCACCATATGATCCCACAATTTCACATCTGGGTATGTAGCAAAAGATGTGAAAGCAAAGACACAAAATAATACACGTACACCTAGGCTCATGGCAGCATTACTCACATCACCCAAAAGGTTTGTGAATTACCCGTGTTGTTTGAATTATCATCAATGAATAAATAAATAAAATGTGATTTATACATATATTGGAACGTTATTCAGTTATGTAAAATAAGAAAATTCTGACACATGGTACGTTATGCATGAACCTTAAGGACATTGTGCAAAGTGACATAAGCCAGTCATAAAAGGACAAATACTGTATCATTCCACTTATGAGATACTTAGAGTAGTTAAATTCTAGAAATCCAAGTAGAAGAGTGGTTCCTAGGAGCTGGAGGGGGAGTAACAGGGAGCTGTTATTTAATGTGCATTAAATTTTGGTTTTGGAAGTTGAAAGAAGGTCCCTATGAATGAGAATAATAGTTGCAAAACAATGTGAGTGTAGTTAATTTTTCTGAGCTGCACACTTAAAATAGCTAAAATGGTTAATTTTATGTATACTTTGCCACAATATAAAAAATATTTTTTAAATAAACAAACTATAGCTATCTGCAGTAGGATGAATTAATATCATAAATATAAAGTTGCATAGAAGAAAGTAGATGTAAAAGTATACATGTTGTACAATTTCACTTATATAAAATCCAGAAAGTGAACACAACTGAGGTTCTGGCTTCCAGTAATAATGAAGTAGAGTAGATTGTTCAATAACTGTTTCACATATACTATAATAAAGTTTAATAAAATACTATATTTTGCTATATAGAAACGCACACTGTTTAGAAGAACTGAATGAAGATTTTAGTATTGCCACTGTAGAAGAGATAAGGATTGGGGTTTGCATCTATTCAAATTAACTCCCTCATAAAATAATAATTTTCAAAGAAATACAACAGAAGCCAGAGTCCCTGTAATTCCTATCACACAATTTAAAAATTTATGAGATGCGTGAAGAAGGATGAAAATGTAATCGATTCACAAGATAAAAAGCAGACAATAGAACCTATTCTCAAGATGTGCAAGATGCTGTAATCGGTAGGTAAGATTTGAAAGAAGCTATGGTAAGTATGTTCATGGGGTTAAAGGAAAACAGTCTCATGACAAGTGAACAGATGTGTAACTGTGCACTCCCAGTCCTTTGGTCACAGGGCTGCAGGACTAAGGAAGGAAATTAAAGAAAAATGAAATTAAAAGGAAAGAGAAATAAGTTTTCTTGTATTAGGCTGATTTGTCCCAGAGGCAGCAATAGGCACAGCCCAGACCCAGGAAAATTCTTGATAATATTATGTAATGTGCTCTGGAGGTTCTCCCAACACTCCCCCAACACAGGGAAAAGAAAAACAAATTCCCTTTGTTTTATGGAATGAGTTTATAGATTCTTGTTCTCTGTAACTAGTGACTTCAAGTATTGTGTTTTATCGAAGAAGTACAATGAAAGTCATGAGAAGCCTGAGTAGGCTGAACTACAGCTGTTTGGGAACCATAGTGAGGGTTATAGGATAAGCCCATGCCCAGGGAAACCTAGATAATGGACATGTGGGTTGCTTGGCAACGGTCATGTGCAATCCTGTCTTTGTCCTGCCTCTGTATTCCTGCTTTCACGCCACTGTAAGCTCGCTTCAAGCTAGCCCACCCCCTTTTGTGAAGTGTGTATAAAAGTCAGGTGTTGTCTGTGTTCCGGGCCCGGTCTTTTTGACGTGAGTCAGCTGGTCCTGAGTGCACTCAATAAAGATTCTCCTGTTTCAACCTGAGGTCTGTCTCGTCCTCCTGAATCCCGCAACAGGAGAATTCCAGTATGCACCATGTTCAGGGAACAGTGCGCGTCACTGAAGGAAAAGTGGGGCGGGAGGGGGTGGTGCATGGCTGTGAGAGCCTCTTGGGCTTGCTGGGAGATGTAGTCTTATAAAGACTCCCAGCCCCTTTGTCACAGGGCTGCAGCACCACAATCCCAGCATACAACGGAATCAGGGACAGTGCGCGTCGCTAGAAGAAGAGGTAGAGCTGTGCATAACTCGCTGGGCTTGCTGGAAAATGTAATCTCATGAACACTCCTTAGTGAACAGTGAGCGTCACTGGAGGAAAAGGCGGGGCTGTGCAGGCCTTGCTTTAGTTGCTGAGAGATGCGGTCTCATAAACACTCCCAGCCCTTTGGTCACAGGGCTGAAGGACTACATTTCCATCATGCACCGGGATCAGGGATAGTGCGTGTGCCTGGATGAAGAGGCAAAGCTTTGTGTGCCTCCTTTGGCTTGCTGGGAGATGTAGTTTCATAAAGTCACCAGACCTTTCATTACAGGGCCGCAGAACTACAATCCCAGTATGCACCAAGATCAAGGATAGTGCGCGTTACTGGAGGATGAGGAGGGATTGTACACGTCTCGCTGGGCTTGGTGGGATATGTATTCTCATAAATACTCCCAAACCTTTGGTCACAGGGCTGCAGGACTACACTCCCAGCCAGCACCGGGCTCAAGGAAATTGCGCGTCACTGGAGGAAGAGGCGGGGTTGTTTGTTACTCGCTGGGCTTGCTGGGAGATGTATTCTCATAAATCCTCGCAGCCCTATCGTCACAGGGCTGAAGGACTACACTTCCAGCCCCAGCATGCACTGGGCTCAGGGACAGCACACGTCACTGGAGGAAGAGGGAGGGCTGTGCGCTTCTCACTCTGCTTTTTTGGGAGATGTAGTCTCATTAACACTCCTAGCCCTTTGGTCATAGATCGCCAAGGACTGCAATCCCAGCATGCACCCAGCTCAGGGACAGTGCGCTAGTCACTGCAGGAAGAGGCAGGGCTGTGTGCACCTCCTGGGAGTACTGGGAGATGTATTCTCATAAACACTCCCAGCTCTTTGCTCACAGGGCTGCAGGAATACATTCCTAGTATGCACCCAGCTCAGTGACAGTGCGCTAGTCTAAGGAGAAAGAGGCCGGGCAGTGTGCGCCTTGCTGGGTTTCCTGAGAGTTGTAGTCTCATGGCCTCTCCCTGTCCTTTGGTCACGGTGCTATAAGACTACAATCCCAGCATGCTTGGGGCTCACGGACAGTCTACATCACTGGAGAATGAGGGGAAGGTTGTGTGCACCTCGCTGCACTTGCTAGGAAATGTAGTTTCATAAAGACTCTGAGACCTTTTGTCACGGGACTGCAGGACTCCAATCCCAGAATGCATCAGGATCAAAAACAGCATGCGTCACTGGGAAAAGATGTGGGGCTGTGTGCGTCTCCCTAGGTTTTCTCGGAGATGTAGTCTCGTGTCCTCTCCCTACCCTTGGCTCACAGTGCTATAAGACTACAATCCCAGCATGCTTGGGGCTCACGGACATTCCCCTTCACTGGATAAGGATGGGAAGGTTCTGCGCACCTCGCTGCGCTTCTTGGGAAATGTAGTTTCATAAAGCCTCTCAGACCTTTTGTCATAGGGCTGCAGGACTACAATCCCAGTATGTATCAGGATCAAAAACAGTATGCGTCACTGGGAAAAGATGTGGGGCTGTGTGCCTCTCCCTACGTTTTCTGGGAGATGTAGTCTCATAAACACTCTTGGCCCTTTGGTCACAGGGCTGCAGGACTACAATCCCAGCATGCAGCGAGTTCAGGGACTGTGTGTGTGTGTGTGTGTGTGTGTGTGTGTGTGTGTGTGTCCCTGGAGGAAGACGTGGAGCTGTGCGTGCCTCGCTGGGCTTGCTGGGAGATGCATTCTGATAACCAATCCCAGCCCTTTCATCACATAGCTGTAGGACTACAATTCCAGCATGCACGGGGCACCGGGACAGTTCGCCTCAATGGAGGAAGAGAAAGGGGTACATGCGTCTCGCTGGGCTTTCTGGGAGATGTAGTCTCATTATTTCTCCCAGCCCTTTTGTCACAGGGCTTCAGGACTACAATCCCAGCATGCACCGTGCTCAGGGAGAGCGCGCCTCAGTGGAGGAAGAAGTGGACCTGTGCTCTTCTCGCTATGCTTTTTCGGAGATGTATTCTCACACACTCTTAGCCCTTTGGTCACTGGGCTGCCCTTTGGTCACAGGGCTGCAGCACTACAATCCTAGCATGCATGGGACTGAGGGAGCATGCGCTAATCAGTGGAGGAAGGGGCGAGGCTCTGCACGCCTCTCTGGGCTTGGTGGAAGATGCAGTCTCATAAACACTCACAGCCCTTTTGTCACAGGGCTGCAGCGCTACAATCCTAGCATGCACCGGGCTCAGGGAAAGTTGGCGTCACTGGAGAAAGAGGCAGGGTTGTGTGCACCTCCTGGGCTTGGTAGGAGATGTAGTCTCATAAACACTCCCAGACCTTTCATCACCGGGCTGCAGGACTACAATCCCAGCATGCACCCAGCTCAGGGACAGTGCGCATTACTGGAGGAAAAGGCTAGGCTGTGGACCCCTCCTTCTGCTTCCTGGGAGAGGTAGTTTCATAGAGACTCCCAGAACTTTCATCACAGGGATGCAGGACTACCATCCCAGTATGCACTGGGGTCAGGGACAGTCCGCGTCAGTGGAAAAAGAGGCGGGGCTGTGTGCGTCTTCCTAGGCTTGCTGGGAGATATATGCTCATAAACACTCCCAGCCCTTTGGTCGCAGAGCTTCAGGACTACAATCTTAGCATGCACCTGTCTCAGGGACAATGCGTATCACTGGGGGAAGAGGCGGGGCTGTGTGCTCCTCCCTAGGATTGCTGGGAGTTGTATTCTCATAAACACTAACAGCCCTTTGGTCAAATGGCTACAGGACTACAATCCCAGCATGCGCCAGTCTCCGGGGTAAGGCATAGCCCTGGAAGAAGGGGCAAAGTTGTACATGCCCCACCTAATATGCTGGGAGCTGTAGTCCGTTAACTGCTCTCAGCCTATTTGTCGGTGGGCTTCAGAACCATAATCTCAGCATATACCGGGATCCGGGGTGCATAGACCTGGAGGGAGGGACAGAGCGGTGTGGACTTCCCAGTGTCCAAAGCATTGCTGAGTTCTTATGCTATGCCGACTCTTTGCCACAGAGAGTGAGTACAGAGGTGGACCTGGAGGACAGGTCTGGGCTGAGCATTGAGGAGGGTATTACCCTATGTAGGCACCTTACCTTTGCCCAAATCAGGCGGGTTATCCTCACCCGATTGGCCCTATGCTTCTCAGGTTCCTCTTTCAGCTGCACCCAGGGTTCCTTCCAGAGCATTGCACCTTCTGCAGCTCAGGGCACTGCCTTTTTTCCTAAACTACTGTGGAAACTGTCCTGATGTCTGAGACACTGTCCATTGTGCAGCAGCCCTCTTTTTTCTCTAGCCAGAGCGCGTGCTCAATGGCTTTTGAGAGAAATCTTCCACATGGCCTGCTTGTGAACAGCTTCAGAGCTCTGCAGGGGCTGACAAGGGCTGAGCCTTCCTGGAAACGTCACTCTCAATGGCGCCTTTTTCACGAATGTGAAAGTCGAGGCATCAGGAAGTTAGTTTAATGGGTTGCAGAAAATCTAAGAGCAAGGGAGAAAACCCGCTTTCCAAGGCGTGAGTTTTGTGAGCCATTTTCATCAACCCATTTAAGTGGACAAGCTCCAAAATGTAACCTGAAGCTGCTGACTATTTAGGCATTTTACAATTAAAATCATCGGTCTCATCCCAAGTCGTGCCTCACTTGCCAGTGTCTCAGAGACACAAATGGGACCTGATCCCTCAGGAACAGATAGTGTTCCAGGTTCGTGGGAGCGACTTTTAAGTTGTGGAGCACTTGGGGTCGTTTGAAACCCACTATCTTCAGTAGGGACTTTTACGTCTAGAGAGCATGTGCATTTTGATTTTATCTGTCTTCAAGCTGAACCTTTGCTCATTTTAACAAGTAAAAACACATTCCTGGGTGAAATGTCATTGCATGCTAATGAGACATGAAACATATGCAAAAATATGTACAGCTACTGCACATGTGCACCCAGAAGACCACTCAAAGCATGCCTTCTATAACACTTCTTTCCACCTTCTTATGAATAATCATGTAAAACTCCCAGAAGGAGGGTTTCTCCAGCAACAATTAATGCTGTCTCACTCTTATGAGCAGGCTGCCCTGGAATCTCTTTCTCAGACTGTACCGTCTATTCTGCACTTGATTTTCAACGTATTCTTTTCTTTTTTGTGTGCAATAAATTACTCTATGCTGTACTTCTTTTGCTGCATGTTTCCTGTTTAAATTCTTTTAAGCTAAGAAGATAAGAACCAAGGTATTACATCAGCCATCAACATTTCTTTTGCCATGGCCCGGAGAGAGGTTTGTCTGCTTCATTAATTTCAGTTTCCCTTTTCTTGCAGTGAATACTATGGCACTTCCAGACTACCTGGTTAACTATCGCTGGTTGTTCCAGCGCTGTTTCACTAAAGTTCTGGGGGAAACGTGTTTAAATCACCTATATTCTCTAGAGAGAGAATATATGTCTGCTCTCCTTTTGGCTGCTGCATCTGTACTATCCATAAATGACACTCACCGCATGGGTTGCTCTCAACATTTCATATTCGGGCTAGTTTGCTGCTTAGTTTCACATCTTTCTGGCCACACTTCAGACTCAGCTTATCGTTTGCTGTCCCTTCGGCAATACTCGATCGCCACCTAGTGGCTATTGTACTTTATTTTCTGATCGGGTTTTCTGTTTACAGTTTTGTCTTGTTTTGTTTTGAGTGGAATATTAAGAGAACCCTGTCCCTTCAGGCTTTATGCATTTCCCACCTCCTTGAAATTGTTCTTCAACAGGTTTTCTTTGCTGAACAAACGACTCAAAGTCATGTAGATGCCCGGTCGTGGGGTTTGAATCTGAGCATTGCAGGTGTTATAATTCGGCATCATAAATTGCAAACCAGTAAATTAGGGAAAGGCTTGTCAGCCAGACATCTGCCCCCCAGCCAGCAGTGGGGGTCATCTCGGCAGGGCTGGAGATGTGCAGCGCTGGTGAGAGATAGGACGGTGTATGGCACATGCCTATGACCTCCTAGAGCTTCAGTTAATGGGGTCTCGAGGGGCTGTGCTGGACACCTTGGTGGTTCCACTTGTCCCATTGTGATGCCCATGGCCTCCTGGACTTTAGTACATATTCTGACGTTGCAAGATCCTGTCGGCACCATGGGAGCCGCTTCCTCTACTGTCATTGAAACACCCCTGGGATGTATATTTAAAAATTGAAACAGCTTTTGGCTAGATGAACCAAAAAAAAAAAAGAAAAGAAAAAACTTATCTTCTTTTGTAATACTATTTTGCTTGCATACAGATTAGCTCACAAAACATGGCTGGGGAATGAGACTGTGAACTTTAACACCCTCCTACAGCTAGATATTTTCTGTAGAAATCAGGGAAAATGGTCTGAAATATCCTATGTGCAAACCTTTATGGCCTGACAACAAAACCCAGCTCTATGCAGCACCTGTGGGCTAAAGCCTAGTAAGCCACAAAGCCCCTCAGAAGCATTAGAAGATCATCTCTTATTAAGGGGAAGGGACCCCAGACCCAACAGCCCAACACCAGCTCCAGATAGGGACCCTCAGGGGCCTACACCTCCTGTAGAATCCGCAGCATCCCCACACTATCAGAGTCTTCTGTAGAATCTAAGCTTGTTTCACCTCCTCCTTATGCTCCTCTCTATCAGCCTTTGCCAGGTATAATAGTGACCAGCCCAGCTGTAGTTACTCGCGGTGGAACTTCACCCCATGCAGGGCCAGAGAATTTGATCCCCTTACAGAAAGTCCCAAATGGAGAGAGGACCATCAGAGTGCTTGTTCTCTTCTCAATAAATGATCTAATCCAATGCAAGCAACAGCTCTGATGGCTCCCAAAGAACTTCAGCGCATTTACTGAAGCCTTCCAGGCTCTAACTTTGACCGCCATTCAACTTCACCATCCATAAATGGACCCAATGACTGCTGACCACGTAGCTGCAGAAAACTTTTGCTTATTGGCAAAAAATAGAAAAGACTTAAAACTTTTGCTGCTTTCACCATTTCAATGCAGAATTCCTTTGCAGCACAAATGTCACCATAAGGTGGAGCCTCGGGAATCCAATAGAAACTATCTCAGGAAAACTCAATGGGTCCCCAACAAGCAGCAGAGGGCCTCAATAGACTTCAACAACATCTGGACTCCATGGCCACTGTAGTCCGACAAAACCAAGGAGCCTGGGATCTTCTCCCAGCCGGGTAAAGAGGAACATGTTTATATCTAAAAGAAGAATGCTGTTTTTGAGATCAATCAGTCTGGTTTAGTTGAAGAAAATATTAATAATATCATCACCCAGGCAGACAAAATTGAATCTCTAGGAACTTCCATGGGAACATGAAAGCGATGTCCATTGTCTGCCTTGCTCTCTTTAATAGTACCAGTCATTATTATATTTTCAGCTTTTAGTTTTGTTCCAATTTTGTTTAAAATGTTAACTGATTTCTTGCTCTCTTGCTTACGGCAACTCCATGTTTGCATGATGGTTTTGCAAGGCTTTCAACCTTTGGTTGCCAACATCTTCCCACTGGTTCCACGAACGACATGGTTTACACCCTGTTAGATCACACAGGAAGAAACTTTAAGGCCCAGGCTAGGCAGAAGTAACACCCACTCAGCAGGAAACAGCTCCAGAAATAATGGCCTAACCCCTCAACCTCCAATATGATTATTGCCCTAAAATCTCTTAGGGGGAAATTGAGGCAGAATAGATAGTACAGAAAATGACCATGATCTCAGGATACAGAAACCATGGTGACTGTACAGCCAACACAATAAGCCGTAGCATTCGCATTGTAATTGGGCTTATTCAAGCAAAGTTATCCTCATTAAGGACTTTCTGTTCTAGAAAGCATGTGCATTTTGATTTCACCTGTCCTCAAACTTAACTTTCGCTTATTTTAATAGCAAAAAATATAGGCCCTAGCCAGGCAAGGTGGCTCATAACTGTACTCCTAGCACTTTGGGAGGCTGAGGAAGATGGATCACTTCAAACCAGAAGCTTGAGACTAGACTGGCCAACATAGTGAAATCTCGTCTCAACTAAAAATACAAAAATTAGCAGGGTATGGTGGTGCATGCCTGTAATCCCAGATACTCTGGAGGCAGAGGCATGAGCATGGCTTGAACTCAGGAGGCGGAGGTTGCAGTGAGCAGAGATCACACCACTGCACTCCAGCCTGGGCAACACGGGGAGACTCTGTCTCAAACAAACAAACAAACAAACAAACAGAAATACACTCCTGGGTGGAGATCTAAGATGCTAACGAGACATGCAACATATGAACAAGCATGTATAGTCACTGCGTATGTGCACCCAGAATATCACTCAGAACATGCTTATAAGCAACTCCTCTTCCCTCCACCTTATTAATAATAATGTAAAACTCCCGTAAAGGGGTTTCTCCAGCGACAGTCCACGCTGTCTCACTCTTACGAGCAGCCCGCCCTGGAGTATCTCTCTCAGGGTGTACTGTAATCTGCACTTAATTTTCAAGTATTTTCTTTTCCAATAAATTATGCTGTACTTTTTTTCCTTGTGTCTCTTGTTTAAATTCTTAAAAACTAAGAAGACAAGAACAGAGGTATCACATCAGTTGTCAACACAGCAATAAGTCAGCCTCCTTCTTGTAAGCATAGCCCATGCAGAAAAGGAGAGTCGCATCACCTAGGTGCTGGATCCAGAGATATGTCACAACTTATCCCAGGCAACAAGTTAAGGTCATTGAAGATATCGTGTTAAATAGTTTCTGGCCCCAGGGATATGTCACAATGGCTCCTGTGAGCAGAGATCAGGCAGCATAATCACATAACCGGTGTGCTGGACACAGCGATAAGCCACTCTTTCATCTGTGGGCATGACCCGGGCAAGAAAGAAGAGCCACAGCATTTAGGTGCTTGCTGCAGAGGTACGTAACAATCTCTCTTATGGGCAAAACTCGGGTAAGAGAGGAGAGTCAAATCTCCAAGGTGATTCATGTAGAAATTTGTCACAAGAAACTTTTTAGGCAGGGCCCATGTTGGATCTTCTTATCTTCCAGAAGTTAGGTCCAGGGATACGTCAGAATACCCAAAATACACAGGGCTCAGTCAATAAAGGAGAGTCACATCACCCAGGTGCTTTGTCTAGACATACGTCACATCTCTTTTATGGGGAAAGCTCAGGTAAAAAAGGAAGGTCACATCAAATAGTTGATAGACCCAGAGATATGTCACTTTGCCTCCTGCTTGAAGTGTCTAGGCCAAAGACTCACATCACCTCGGTGTTAGGCCTGTGTTCATATATAAACATTCAACCAGAGTTGAAATGGTGGCCCACATCTAAACTCAGCTCATAGGCAAGGGAGGACTCTCCTATCCTGACCTAGTTAATTGTAATGATGTTGACTCTCATACCGGGCTTAATGCTACAAGTACGATCATGGGTCCCTACCATTAGGAAGGTGTCAAAGTTGATTACGACTCTCATGCATAGTGTATAGGGCCATTGGGTAGTACACAGAGCGTGCTAACTGGGCCGAGCACACAGGTGAGATTGTGACACTCATATGCACACCCAGCCAACAGTAACTATTGTCATCCTCTCACGGGAACACAGGTCAGTCTGCAGAGGAATTGAGACTCTCATGCACAAATCCAGTCTGGTGTTGAGAGGGTTATTCGTGAGCTTAGACCCAACATACAGGAGGTGTTGAATGTCATGCCTACAACTGAGACAGTTGTGGGATTGTTAATCTAATTCCTGGACCATTCTGCAGCTTTCATGGTGAAATTTGCCGGTGCCTAGCACCTGAGTGACTTGATGGTCTCACATGGACCCAGCCCACAGATGGGATATTAACATATTGCTGGATCCAGCACATTGAGGGTGTAACTCTATTCTCCTTCCTTGGCACTGCCCACAGTGAGCATTTTGACATATCGCTAGACCTTGCACCCGGAGATGTGAGTCTCCTCTTCTGCCTTGGCGCTGCCCTCAGGAAGCGTTGCTATATATAGCTTGGCCTCGCATCCAGGTTATGTGACTCTCCGGCTTGTGCACTGCCCATATGGGACACTGTGTTATATTGCTGGGTCCACTACTCAGGTTATGTAACCCAACAGCCTGGGCCCTGCCTTACAGGGGCATTGTGACATATCTCTGTGCTCATCAGCCTGGTAATGTGATTCTCTTCTCCTGCCTGGTCCCTTTACACAGAAGGGATTGTGAGACGTTGCTGGGCTTAGCACCAAGTTGATGATGTGAATCTTCTGCCTGGATCGAGTTCACAGAAGGCATCGTGACATACCTCTGGGTCCATCATCTATTTGATGCAACTCTCCTCTCTTACCTGAGCATTGCCCATAAGACAGATTGTGACATAACCCTGGGTCTAGCACCGGGATGATGTGACTCCTCTCCTTGCCTGGGGCATGCCCACAGAAGGAAGTGTGACTTATAACTGGGAACAGCACAGGGGTGATGTGATTCTTCTGCCTGGTCCCTACCTACAGGAGTCATTGTCAAATGCCTCTGGGCCCATCATCTAGACTATGTGACTCTCTACTTCTTCCTATGGCCGGCTCACATAAGGATTGTGACATATTACTTTGCCCAGTACCTACATCATGTGACTTTTCTCCCATATCTGGGCTCCATCTTGGAGATGAATGTGATACATAGCTAGGCCTAGCCCCTAGGTTCTGTAACTTCTCTTTTTTCAAAATCCTACCCACCAGGGTCATTGAAACATCTCTCTGGGCACTTCACTTAGGTAATGTTATCCTGTTGCCTGGAGCCTCCCCTCTGGGGGGTATGGTGACATATTGCTGGACACAGTACCTATGTGATATTCTCTCCTTTCTTGCCTGGGCCTTGTATACATTGTGTATTATAATATATGGCTGGGTTCAATGACTAGGTGTTGCAACTCTCATGCATAGGCCCTACCCGCAGGGACATTATGACATTTCTTTAGCTCTGACTCTCCTCTTTTTCCTTAGCCCTGCCAAAAAGGGAGGTGGTGACATATAACTGGACCTAGCAACCAGCTAATATGAGTCTCCTCTTTTGCCTGCACCCAGCATATTTTAGGTGTTGTATCATATCCTTTGTCTCAACACCTGCAGGATGAAAGGCTCCTGCCTGAGCCCAGCCATCTGTCAAAATTGTCATTCTCCCACACGAACATGGACCATAATTGAGGTTCTGAAACTCACACCCAGAGGCAGTCAAAAGTTGGAAAATTGGCTCTAATAAGTGGATGTTGTCCTTAAGTGGGTTTGTGACTCCCTGACCAAGATCCAAAACACTTGTGAGGCTGTGAGTCCACTAAGATAACTCAGTTTTCAAAAGGGATTAAGGCTCTCATGGAAAAAACCCATTCCTCCATTGAGATTGTGACTTATGCACATAGATACAACATACAGGAGGCGTTCACTCTCATATCCAGAACTGGCACTTATGAGGGATTGTTAATCTCATCCATGGACCTTCCTGCAGGTGTGATTCTGACGTACACCTCTAGCCAGCTCCTGAGTGATTTGACTTTTTTGCCTGGGTGTAGCCCACAGATGAGATTGTGATATATCCTTGAATCCAGCATCTAATTAATATGCTTCTAATCTCCTGTCTTGGCACTGCCCATAAAGGGTATCCTGACCTAACACTGGTCCTGGCACTTTGTTATATGACTGTGTCCTGTGCTTTGCCCACATGAGCCATTGTGACATATTGCTGGGTCCAACACCCAGGTGATGTAACTCTTGTCTAGACTTTACCTACATGGGGTCATTGTGACATATCTGTGCACTGTTCACCCAGGTGATGGGACTCTCTTGTCCTGTCTGGTGCCTGTTCACAGCTGGGATTCTTACACATCGCTGGGGACAGACTCTAACTAATGTGACTGTCTTTTTACTGAGGACTACCCACAGGAGGAATTGAAAATATCTATGGGCCTCTCACTTAAATGATGTGACTCTTTTCCTGGGCTCATTTCTCAGGGTTATTGTGACATATGGCTGACCTCAGCATGGAGGTGATGTGAGTTTCTTCTACTGCTAGGGCTCTGACCAAAGACAGATTACAATGTATCATCGGGCCCAGCACCTGGGTGATTTGACTCTCCCCTCTTGGCTGGGCCCTGCATATATTGTGTATTGTGACATATCACTGGGTCCAACACCTAGGTAGTGTGACTTACCTGCATGGCCCATTTCCACCTGGGTATTATGACATATCTTTTTGTTCATCACTTAGGTGATGCAACTCTCCTCTTTGCCTTGGGCCCTGCATAATTTAGCTATTGTGTTGTATCACTGGGCCAATCGCCTAGACAATAGGAATCTTCTGCCAAGGCCCTGACTACTGGGGACCTTGTGACATAGCTCTGCATTTATCACCTAGAAAATGTGATTCCCCCATTTCTGCCTGAGCCCTGCTCACAAGAAAAACTGTAGCATATTTCTGGGCCCAGCAAACAGGTGATGTGTTTCTCCTGCCTGTGCCTTGCTCACAGGGAAAATTGTGACATATCGCTGGACCCAGAACCCAGGTGAGGTGACTCTGCTGCATGTGTCATGCTTTCAGGAGGGAACAAGAACATATCCCTGGCAGAATACCTAGGGATGTGACTTTCTTGCCTTGTCCCTGTCCTCAGGGGAGAATGTGACATATCCCTGACAATGACCCAGGTGATGAGACCCTCCTGCTTGCTGACTACTCAAATGTGAGATTGTCACATATATTTTGGCCTAGCATGTAGGTGTGATGATGACATTCATACCTTAAACCAACCAATAGGAGAGATACTTTGTCTCATATCCAGGCTTTACAAAATGTGCAAAATTATGGGTCTTCTCTTACTATGAAGGTCAGAGAAAATAAGCACTCTTGCATATCCTGTAAAGCACTCAGATGGTACAGTGTCATCACAGGGCCCAGAACACAGGTGAGATTGTGTTCTCTGTGTGCACACCCACCAATCATCAGAATTGTCATTCCTACACAGGAACAGAGGTGATTAGGGAGGTCTAAATCTCATACCTGAGTGCCGTCCACAGCTGGAATTGTAACTATCACATGTGAACATCCAGTCACAGTTGGGGTAGTGACTTATTTCTGAACCCAGTTTACAGCCAAGTAAAGATCCTCTTATCTGGATCCAGCCAGCTGGAGAGATGTTGACTCTCATACCTGGGCTTATGGCCACAGGTATGATCATAGGTTCATATCAGCATGAAGACCTCAGAGTGTATTATGTTTAATGCATACTCTACAAAGCCCATAGGAGGTACATAGTGTCCTAACAGGGCCCAGCAAACAGGTGAGATTCTAACACTCATGCACACTCTGGTGACAATAAAAGTTATCCTCAAAAATGAGCACAACCGGCCGGGTGCGGTGGATCAGGCCTGTAATCGCAGCACTTTGGGAGGCCGAGGCGGGTGGATCACGAGGTCAGGAGATCAAGACCATCCTGGCCAACGTGGTGAAACCCCGCCTCTCTACTATTTATTTATTATTATTATTTTGAGACAGAATCTTGCTCTGTCACCCAGACTGGAGTGCAGTGGCACCATCTAGTCTTACTGTAACCTCCGCCTCCCAGGTTCAAACAATTCTCTTGTCTCAGCTTCCCGAGTAGCTGGGACTACAGGCTCATGTCACCATGCCCAGTTAATTTTTATATTTTTGGTAGAGACGGGGTTTCACCATATTGATTAGACTGGTGTCAAACTCCTGACTTCAAGTGATCCACCCACTTCGACCTCTCAAAGTTCTGGGATTACGGGCATGGAACACTGTGCCTGGCAACCCCATCTCTACTAAAAATACAAAAATTAGCTGGGCATGGTGGCATGTACCTGCAATCCCAGCTACTCAGGAAGCTGAGGCAGGAGAGTCGCTTGAACCCAGGAGGCAGAGGTTGCAGAGAACCGAGATCGTCCCACTGCACTCCAGCGTGGCAATAGAGTGAGACTCCATCTCAAGGGAGAAAAAAAAAAAAAGAAAGCAAAGAAGAAAGAAAGAAAGAAAGAAAGAAAGAAAGAAAGAAAGAAAGAAAAAGAGAAAGAAAGAAAAAGAGAAAGAAGGAAGGAAGGAAAAGAAAGGGAGAAAGAAAAGAAAAAAAGAAAGAAAGAAAGAAAGAAAGAAAGAAAGAAAGAAAGAAAGAAAGAAAGAAAGAAAGAGAAAGAAAAAAAAGAAAATTGACTCTCATATATGGATCTTGTCCACAGGTAGGTGGGTGACTCTCAAACCAAAATTCATTACATCTGTGAGACTGTAACTCTCCTAAGGGGACGCGGTCAGCCAGAGAAGACACATTTATGAATCCAGTTCACTGTTGAGATTGAGACTGGTGTACTTAGGCCCAACATGCAAATTCTCATACCTGGAATCCGGACATGTGTGGAGTTGTTCATCTCATCCCTGTCGCTTTCTGCAGGTGGGATTGTGACATACATCTCTGCCCAGCTCCCGAGTATTTTAGCTCTGTTTCCTGTGCCCAGCTCACAGATGGGATTCTGATATATCACTGAAGCCAGCACCTAGGTTATGTGACTCTTACCTCCTGCCTTGGTGATGCCCACAGGGGACATTGGGACATATCACTTGGCCTTGCACCTAGGTAATGTAAGTTTTCTGTCTTGCATTAGTGCTACTCACCGGGGCGTTGTGATGTATTGCTGGGTCTCACATCCATGTTATGTGACTCTTCTGCCGGTGCCCAGGCCACAATGGCCATTGTGACATACTGTTGCATCCAAAACCTAGATGATCTACCTCTCCTTCCTGAGCTTTGCCTAAGGGGACATTGTGAAATATCTATGTGCCCATCACCCATGTGGTGTGATTTTCTTCTCCTGCCTAGTCCCTGCTTAAAGAAAGGATTGTGACATATCACTGTGCCCAGCACCTACCTCATGTTACTCTTCTTTTGTTTTATAGGATTTGTTTGGAAGGAGATTGTGATACATTGGTGGGTCCAACTTCGAGGTGACATTACTCTGTTGACTTTGCCCTGCAAGCAGAAAGCACTGTGACACATTATTAGGCCCATCTCCTGCCTGAAGCCTGCGTACAGCAATTTGTAACATATGGCATTGGGACATATCTCTGAGCCCATCAACTATTTGATAAAACTCTTCTTTTTTAACAAAGGCTTTGCCTATAGGAGAGATTGTGACTAATTCTGAGCTCAAAAAATAGGTGATGTTTCTTTAGTTTTTCTGCTTGAGCCCCACATTGTGATGTATTTCTGGTCCCAACAACTGAGGGAAGGGAATCTCCTGTCTGGGTCTTGCCTACAGGGAGACTTGTGAAATATTTCCGCGTTCATCACCTTAAATATGTGACCCTCATCTTCTGCGTGGCCATGTTTACAGAAGGGAGAATGGGTTATTCCTAGACCCAGCACACAGATCATGTGATTCTGCACCCTGGTCTCTTCAGAGGGTTCATTTTGACATATCTCCAGACTCATCAACTAGATGATGTGACGGTCCTCTTCTCCCTGAAACCTATCCATAGTGGAGATTGTGAAATACAGCCTGGCACAGCACCTACATGATGGTGCTCTCTTCTCATGCCTGGGTGCTGCCCACAGGGGTCATTGTGACATAGCTGGGTACAGTCTTCAGGTGATGTAACTCTCCTCTATTTTGGGGTGCACACACACAGGGCATTACCATATAGCTCTGCTCCTCAGACCTAGGTGATGTGACTCTCCTGTCTGTTACCTCCTCTTAGGGGGTATTGTGATATATTGCTGGGCCCAGAACCGAGGTGATGTGGCCTTTTCTCTTGCCTGGGCCCTGCATACATGGTGTACAGTAACATATATCTGGGTTGAACACATAGGTGATGTGACTCTTCTGCATAGGTCTTGCCAACAGGGGTATTATGACATACCTTTCTATTCGTTGCCTAGGCTATGTGACTCTCCACTCTTATCTGGGCCCTTCCAAAAGAGGGGATTGTGACATATCAGTGACCCTACCACCAAGGTGATGTGACTGTTCTCTTTTGCCTGGGTTTGCATATTTTGGGTATTGTGACATATCCCTGGGCCCAACACTTAGGGGATAAAAGGCTTATTCCTCTACCTTATGCACAGAGAAACTTGTGACGTTTTTCTGCATTCATCACCAAGGAGATGTGACTCTCCTACCTGCATCCTGACCACAGAGAGGATTGTAACATATTGCTAGATCCAGCACCCAGGTGATGTGACTCTGCTGCCTGGTTCCTAATTTAAGGAGTGGATTGCTACATACCCATGCCTGAGCATTCAGGTAATGTGTCTCTGTTCCCTGGTCCCTGTTCTCAGGGAAGAGACATATCCCTGGCCCAGCGTCCAACTGATTTTACTCTCCTGCTCTCTTCCTATATGAAGGTGTAATTGTGACTTATATCTTGGAACACAACACACAGGTGCAATGATGACTTTCATATGTCACACCAGCCAATAGGAGAGATCCTGCTTCTCCTACCGACACTTAGGGAAATGAAAAAAAAAAATCCCTGGGTCTCCTCGTTAAGATCATCCACTCTCTCACATATTACAGAAAGCCCTCGGGTGGTAGAGAGTCTTATCACAGGGCCCAGCACACAGGTGAAATTTGTTACTCCTCTGCGCACCCTGCACCCTCCTGGCCATTATGATTTTCACCCTCACATATAAACAGAACCCACTTGTGAGGTCCTGAATTTCACACATGAATGCAGTTTATAGTTGGAATTGCGAATCTCATATGTAAAGATCTGGCCACAGTTGGAATGGGAACTTCGTTATAAACCCACCGCATAGAAAGGTGATGATTCTCTTATCTGGACCCCACCAATTGTAAAGATGTTGACTCATATATAGGCTTAGGGCCACAGGTTTGATCCTGGGTCCATACCAGCATGAAAATCTCTGAAAGAATTGAGACTGTCATGCATACCATATAAAGCCCTCAGGTGCAACACAGAAACTCCTAATAGGGCTCAGCACACAGTAATATTATGACATTGGGAGGCACACCCAGCCAACATTAAAGATTGTCATTCTTTCACATGATCATAGTTCACTTTTGAGGCTCTGAATCCCATACCCAAAGGCAGTTTCAAAAGTTGAAAAACTGAGCCTTTTTTATGTGTCTTTTGGCTGTATAGATATCTTCTTTTGAGAACTGTCTGTTCATATCCTCGCCCACTTGTTGATGGGTTTGTTTGCTTTTTTCTTATAAACTTGTTTGAGTTCTTTGTAGATTCTGGGTATTAGCCCTTTGTCAGATGAGTAGATTGAAAAAATTTTCTACCATTCTGTAGGTTGCCTGTTCACTCTGATGGTAGTTTCTTTTTCTGTGCAGAAGCTCTTTAGTTTAATTAGATACCATTTGTCAATTGTGGCTTTTGTCACCATTGCTTTTGGTGTTTTAGACATGAAGTCCTTGCCCATGCCTATGTCCTGAATGGTATTGCCTAGGTTTTATTCTAGGGTTTTTATGGTTTTAGGTCTAACATTTAAGTCTTTAATCCATCTTGAATTAATTTTTGTGTAACGTGTAAGGAAGGGATCCATTTTCAGCTTTCTACATATGGCTAGCCAGTTTTCCCAGCACCATTTATTAAATAGGGAATCCTTTCCCCATTTCTTGTTTTTGTCAGGTTTGTCAAAGATCAGATAGTTGCAGATGTGTGGCACTATTTCTGAGGGCTCTGTTCTGCTCCATTTGGTACCAGTACCACGTACTCTGATTTGGTACCAGTACCATGCTGTGCTGCTATAAAGACACATGCACACGTGTGTTCATTGTGGCATTATTCACAATAGCAAAGACTTGGAACCAACCCAAATGTCCAATAATCATAGATTGGATTAAGAAAATGTGGCACATATACACCATGGAATACTATGCAACCATAAAAAATGATGAGTTCATGTCCTTTGTAAGGACATGGATGAAGCTGGAAATCATCATTCTCAGCAAACTATCGCAAGAACAAAAAACCAAACATGGCATGTTCTCACTCCTAGGTGGGAAGTGAACAATGAGAACACTTGGACACGGGAAGGAGAACATCACACACCGGGGCCTGTTGTGGGATGGGGGAGGGGGAAGGGATAACATTAGGAGATATACCTAATGTAAATGAGGAGATAATAGGAGCAGCACAGCAACATGGCACATGTATACATATGTAACAAACCTGCACGTTATGCACATGTACCCTAAAACTTAAAGTACAATAAAAAAAGTTGAAAAACTGACTCTCATATGTGAGAGTCACAGATATGTTGATGACTCTCATATCATGAGTCGGCACACCTGTGAAGCCGTGATTTCAATTAGGGGAGAAAGTCTGCAAGAGAAAATGGGGCTGCCATGCACAAATTTAGTCCACTATTGAGATAGTGACTTGTGTACTTAGATCGAACATACAGAAGGTGTTCACTCTCATGCCTAAAACCAGAATATGTGCGGGATTCATCCCATGTCTAGAACTTCCTGCAGGTGTCATTGTGACAAACATACACATTTGTCCAGCACCTGAGTGAGTAGACTCTCCTGTTTAAGCCCATCTCACAAATAAAATTGGGACATATCATTGGACCTAGAACTTAGGTGATGTGGCTCTATTCTCTCGACTTGTGCTGCCCACAGGGAGCATTGTAACATATCACTGAACTTAACACCTAGGAGATTGGGGGCTCCTGCCTGAACTCTGCCCACAGGGAGGCAGAGCATATTTCTGCCTTGTAACATATTTCTGCCTCCATCACCAGATGATGTGACTCTCCTTTCTGCCTGCACCTTGCCCACAGGAAAGATTCTGACATATCACTGGGCCTAGTAATCAGTAATCAGGTGATGTGTCTCTCCTGCCACGGCTTTACCCACAGGGAGTGTGGTGACATATCACTGAGCTCAATATTCAGGTGATTTGACTCTGCTGCTTGTACTCTGATTTCAGGAAGGGATTGTAACATATCCCGGGTGAGCACACAAGTGATGGGACTCCCTTCCTAGCCTCCGACCTCATAAAAGATTGTTACATATCCCTGGCCCAGCCTTAGGTATGTGACTCTCCTACCTGGTCCCTGCCATCAGGGAAGATATTGACAGATCTCTGGCCAAGCATCCAGGTGATGCGACTCTCCTGCTCACTCCCTACCCACAGGAGAGATTGAAACATATATCTTGGCCAGCTCACAGGTGTAATAATGACTCTCATACCTCAAACCTGCCACTAAGAGAAATGCTGTTTTTCCTAGTGAGGCTTTGGAAAATCGGTAGGTCCTAAATCTTCTCTTTGTATGAGGGTCTTAGAGGAATACCACTCTCTCTTATATTATATAAAGCCCTTAAATGGTACAAAGAGTGTTATCACAGGGATATGTTGCATAACCTATGGGAGGGGCCCAGTTATATGTCACAATTAGCCCAGGGGGCAGGGCACAGGCATGAGAAGAATCTCACCACATATGTGCTGGCCTAAGTGATACATCATCATCCCCACTGTGGACAGGTCGCAGTAAGAACAGGAGAGTCACATCATTCTTATAATGGTCTCAGAGATACATCACAATGACTCCCCTGGGCAGAAAGAAGGGATGAGTCACATCACCTGTGGGCTAGGCCCAGAGATGTCACTCTTACTTCTGTGGGCATGCCTCAGGCTGGAGAGGAGAATCACATTACCTAAGCACTGGACCAAGAAATACGTCACAGTCTTTCTCATGGGCAAAGTCCAGGTAAGAGAATAGAGCCACATCAAATAGTTCATGGGCTCAGAGATATGTCACTATGCTCCCTGTGGGCAGGGTTCAGGTAGGACCCTTACATTACCTTGGTGCTGGTTCAGCAATATGTCCCAATGCCTTCTAAGGACAGAACAAAGACAAAAGAGTAAAATCATTTTGGTGTTTTACCCATCGATATGTCACAATCTTCCCCGTGGGCAGAACCTGAAAAAAGGGAAGAGTCATATTAGCTAAATGCTGCGCCTAGCGATAAGTCAAAATTCACCCTGTAAGCAGGGACTAGACAGAAGATAGAGTTACATCATCTGGTGGCTGGTGCAGGGATACGCCACCATGCCCTCTCTAGGCAGGATCCAGACAGGAGAGCTATGTTGCCTGTGTTTTGGACCCAAAAATATGTCACAAACGCCCATGGACAGAGCACAGGAAAGACAGGCACATAACCTGAATATCAGGTTCAGTGGTATGTTCCAATGCCTCCTGTGAGCATTCCAAGGCAGGAGAGGAGACTCACATTACCTGTGTGCAAGACCCAGTGATACGTCACACGGAGGAGTACCACTGTCTTGCATATTGTGTAAACTATGGTAGAGAAATTGTCACCAAAGGGCTCAGCACACTGGTGAGATTATACTTCTCAGATTCACACCACACCAATATTCAGGATGGTCTCTATCACATGTGGAGAGAGCCCACTCTTGAGGTCCTGAATTACACATGCAGACATAGTCCACAACTGGGATTCTGACTTTCATATGTGAACATCCAGCCACAGGTGGGATGGTGACTCATTTTTAAACGCAGCTCATAGGCAGTTAAGAACTCTTATTTGGACCCATCCAAGTAGAAAGATGTTGACTGTCATACCAGGGCTTAAAGCTAAAGGTACAAGGAGGGGTCCGTGCCTGCTTAAGGTTTCAGAGAGAATTGTTACACTCATGCATACTCTATAAAGGCTTCATATGGTGAAGAGAGTGTCCTGCTAGGGCCCAGAACAAAGGTGAGATTGTGATACTCATATGTACACTGAGCCAAGAGCAAAAATTGTCATCTTTTCACATGAACACAGCCCAATGTTAAGGTTCCGAATCTCACACCTGTTGATCTACCTGCTGATGGAATAGTCTGTCAAGAGAAAGCAGAGATGTACGAGCATCAATCTGGAAAACAGCAATAATGGTAGTGTGCACCAGGATTCAGATATCTTCCTAGTATTGTTTTCTCCAAACCTCTTTATTCGTAATTCACCATTTGTTTCATTGCCATTCGGGCAACTAGGTAGTAAGACCATTTTCTGCTAAGCAAGAGTAGGTATACAAGTAACAAATCCCTCTGGCCTCCTCCTGAATAGTTCAGAGAACAGATTCTAGTTCAGCCAGCTGGCTGCTAACACCCCTCCCTTCCTCAGAAATGCTTATGTTTTTAACAGGATTATAAGCCACGGCCTCCCAGCATCGGGTCCCATCAATATATTTGGTGGAATCATCAGCAAACCAAGCATGTCTCTGATCGTCTGGGCTTGGTTCTTTAAAGGATTTGCCCCATTGGGCAGGGGAGGTTTCCTTCCTTATCTGCAGGACTTGCTCAGTGGTTTGCTGAGCTGGCAAGTTTTGCACATCCTCATTTAAAAATGATACCTGTTTTGGTTCCGGCTTAGCCTGGTCTTGTATGTGCCATTTCCATTTACTTTCTTGAGTGTACCCTATCCAATGAGGTTTGAGGGAGTTCATGACCCAAGTCATATTAGGAATTTGGGGCCTCATAAAAACATCATGATTAAGACAAAGGTGTTCTGTTTCCTGTAAAGCCCAGTAGCAGGTCAACAGCTGCTTCTCAAAGAGTATAAGCTTTGCTAGCCTCTGACAGCTTCTGGGTCTAAAACCCCAAAGGTATCTCTTCCCATCTTGTTTCTACCTAAGGCTCCAATGAGCGTGTTGATCTAGGACAGTTACTTGCAGTTCTACTGGCCCATCCTGTAAGGGCCATACTGTTGCTCTGCTTGTTTGGCTGGTTGAAAAGCCACGCTCACTTTCTGTCTTCAGTGAAAGTCATAGCGTTTTCTAGTGACCGCATGCAGAGGTTGTAAAATGTTACCCAAATGGGGAATATGATGTCTCCAGAATCCAAACAAACCAATACAATTTTGGACCTCCTTTTCAGTGGTAGGGCTGCAAATTCTAGTATTTTAGCCTTAGCCTTTGGTAAAATGGACTGTTTCCCTGCATTCCATAGGATGCCAAGGAACTTTACAGTTTGTGGAGGTCCTTGAATTTTACTAGGGTTAACTTCCCATCCTTGAGATAGGATTTGGGTTTTTACCGGATCCAAGCCCCAGCTGACTAGTTCTTCAGTTTTACGCTGACTGGGCCACTCAGGCAGCTGCTTTTTTTCAGCAATAGGCTGATAACTTTGAGGCTGATCAGTCAAGACATAGGCCTGGCCATGGGCCAGGGCCAGCCTGGAAGTCAGATTAGCATTTTCTTTTCTGGCTTACATTTCTGTTGTAGCAGCTGATTCCTATCTTGACACATTAACTTATAAGCAGTAAGCAAGCACCATCCATGCCGGGAAATTCTCTCAGCATCCCATTTACCAACTGGGATTCCCTGCACCTCCTCACACACAGCCAATGATTCAAAATGCACTAACTTAGATTGCCTATTTTCACAAACGCCAGCTCCCTTGGACCACTGAATGGCCAAGGGGAAGAACTAGGGGAGTTCCCATCTGAAGATATGGAAAGTCCCCGAGCTCCCAGTCTGGTCCCTGCACCAAAAAATGGCATGCTTTTGCTTTCGGATCCTGTTCGTGAAGCCAAAAATGTTCTGCGCAGGAAATGCTCAAGGAGAGAAGGAAACACACACACACACACACACACACACACACACACACACACACACACAATACCTTTAAGGGTAAACAAACTGTATCCCACGTAAATGGCAATGCAGATATAATAAGCAAATGATATAATAAGCAAGTTGCAATGGGACGGAGAGAAGGGAAAAGAGATATATATATTTACACTCATCAGACTATGGAGGATTCACCACCAGACTGCGAAGCAACAGACTGGGCTCCAGAGTTGGCCACTTGTCCGTGAACAGATGAGAAGAGATCTCATGAAGTTTTGGCACAGTCTGGAACCCTAGCTCTTTTTGTAATGAGTTATCTGGCATGACGTCCAGTCAGGAGGGCCCTTCATTTCTGGGCTCAAGGAAAAGAAAAAGATCAACTTGTTTTTTTGATTGTCTGTTGTTTTTCAGTAACTAACATATAGGAATAAATTGAAATAGAGATTTATCCGAAACAGCGCTGGATGAAAGCCTCAAGGGGCTCACACAACCTGTTCCAGGACTTGGTGACCATTGTTTGAGTCCAGATTCAATTGAGTTCAAATTTAATATTTAAATTTTACTCCACAAAGTGTCAAAAGTAATTCCTTCAAATGCAGGAAATTATGTAACTACTCACAAACTAAACTTCTCAACCAAAAGTCATAAATTGAGTATAGGAATTAAAAAAAAAAAAGAAAGAAAATCTAACTACATCTGTCTAAAGGGACTCAATTTATTTATTTATTTATTTTAGAGACTTGGTATTGCTTTGTTTCCCAGGCTGGTCTCAAACTCCTGGTTTCACGTGATCCTCCCACCTCAATCTCCTAAAATGCTAGGATGACAGATATGAGCCATCTTACTCTATAGTAACAAAAACAGACTAAATGTGGCAAGATGCATCCAAAAAATTATGCAAATCATAACCAAATGAGGACAGACTATGTCACAATTATAGTATGCAAAATGCTTTTTAAATAACTGTCTTAGTTTATAAAATATATTATGAAATCAAATTGTCAGAAAAACAAAGGACAAAATAATAAAAGGGTTTATTCACTGGAAACCTATGACAATTATACACATTTACATAATTGTGTGTATATATCTAATTATGTATTCACACAAATATGTATGCACCTTACATGAGTATTTTTAAATATATCAATAATATCTTGACAGAACATAAGCAAAAACGGCAATATATTAAAAGTATAATATTTTAATACACCAGTTCTGTAATTAATAAAAAAGCCAGATAGAATATTAAAAAGTAAACAGACGACATGAAAATACTGTAAAGCAATTAGATATAACAGATGCATACAGAACACTCTACACAAAAACAAAACTCACAATCTTCTCAAAAGCTCATGAAACATTCTCCTAAAAATAACTATGAAGCCAAAAAACAATTCTGAACAGAATTTTTGAAAAATTGAATGTTACAAAAAATTCAAAAAATCAATGAATATAGGAGTTATTTTTTTGAAAAGATCAACAAAATAGACTGCTAGCAAGACTAATAAAGAAAAGAGAGAAGAATCAAAGAGAAGCAATAAAAAATGATAAAGGGGCTATCACCCCTGATCCCATAGAAATACAAACTACCATCAGAGAATGTTATAAACACCTCTACGCAAATAAACTAGAAAATCTAGGAGAAATGGGTAAATTCCTGGACATATACATCCCCCACAAGACTAAACAAGGAAGAAGTTGAATCTCTGAATAGACCAATAACAGGTTCTGAAATTGAGGCAATAATTAATAGCCTACCAACCAAAACAAGTCGAGGACCAGACGGATTCACAGCTACATTCTACCAGAGGTACAAAGGGGAGCTGGTACCAACCCTTCTGAAACTATTCCAATCAATGGAAAAAGAGGGAATCCTCTCTAACTCATTTTATGAGACCAGCATCATCCTGATACCAAAGTCTGGCAAAGACACAACAAAAAGAGAAAATTTTAAGCCAATATTCCTCATGAACATCGATGCAAACATTCTCAATAAAATACTGGCAAACCGAATCAGGCAGCACTTCAAAAGCTTAACCACCAAGATCAAGTGTGCTTAATCCCTGGGATGCAGGTTCAACATATGCATATCAGTAAACATAATCCATCACATAAACAGAACAAATGACGAAAACCACATGATTATCTCAATAGATGCAGAAAAGGCCTTCGAAAAAATTCAACAGCCTTTCATGCTAAAAAATGCTCAATAAACTAGATATTGACAGAATGTATCTCAAAATAATAGGAACTATTTATGACAAACTCACAACCAATATCATGCAGAATGGGCAAAAACTGGAAGCACTCCCTTTGAAAACCGGCACAAGACAAGAATGTCCTCTCTCATCACTCCTATTCCACATAGTGTTGGAAGTTATGGCCAGGGCAATCAGGCAAGAGAAAGAAATAAAGCATATTCAACTAGGAAAAGAGGAAGTCAAATTGTCCCTGTTTGCAGATGACATGATTGTATATTTAGAAAACTCCGTCGTCTCAGCCAAAAATCTCCTAAGCTGATAAGCAACTTCAGCAAAGTCTCAGGATACAAAATCAATGTGCAAAAATCACAAACATTCCTACAATAACATACAGAGAGTCAAATCCTGAGTGAACTCCCATTCACAATTGCTTCAAAGAGAATAAAATACCTAGGAATCCAACTTACAAGGGATGTGAAGGACCTCTTTAAGGAGAACTACAAACCACTGCTCAACGAAATAAAAGAGGACACAAACAAATGGAAGAACATTCCGTGCTCATGGAAAGGAAGAATCAATATTGTGAAAATGGCCATGCTGCCCAAGGTAATTTATGGATTCAATGTCATCCCCACCAAGCTACCATTGACTTTCTTCACAGAATTGGAAAAAACTACCTTGAAGTTCATATGGAACCAAAAAAGAGCCCGCATAGTCAAGACAATCCTAAGCAAAAAGAACAAAGTTGGAGGAATCACGCTACCTGACTTCAATCTATAATACAAGGCTACAGCAAGGAAAGCATGGTACTGGTACCAAAACAGATACATAGACCAATGGAACAGAACAGAGGCCTCAGAAATAACACCAAACATCTACAACCATCCGATCTTTGAAAAAAACTGACAAAAACAAGCAATGGGGAAAGGATTCCTTATTTAATAAATGGTGCTGGGAAAACTGGCTGGCCATATGCAGAAAACTGAAACTGGATCCCTTCCTTACACTGTATACAAAAATTAAGTGAAAATGGATTAAAGACTTAAATGTAAGACCTAAAACCATAAAAACTTACAAGAAAACCTAGGCAATACCATAGGCATGGACAAAGACTTCATGACTAAAACACCAAAAGCAATGGCAACAAAGCCAAAATTGACAAACGGGATCTACTTAAACTAAAGAGCTTCTTGTAAAGGGCCCGCTAGGCATACCCAAAGCGGGCAGAAGGCTCCTCAGGGGAAGGTAAGGTTTGAGGGAGTGCAGGTGAGGCACCTGTGGCAGAAAAAAAAAAACGCAAAACAAAACAAAAAAAAACTCGCCGCCAAGAAGCGTTCCTGGTTCCCCCACGGACGAAAGTGCCTTCCCATCAGTCCCTGCACTGGGCCTTGGATACTCTGGCGTCCCTGGTTCGAACCCAGAGAGCGACTCAGGCCCGCTAGGGGTACCCCAAAGCGGGCAGAAGGCCCCTGAGGGGAAGGTTAGGTTTGAGGAAAGGGAGGTGAGGCACCTGTGGATGAAAAAAAAAAAAGAAAAAAACTCAGCGTCGAGACGCATTCCTGGGTCCCCCACGGAAGAAAGTGCCTTCCCATCAGTCCCTGCTCTGGGCCCCGGTGACCCTGGCGTCCCCGGTTCGAACCAAGGGTGCGTCTCGGGCCAGCTAGGGGTACCCCAAAGCGGGAAGAAGGTCCTTGAGGGGAAGTTAAGGTTTGAGGGAGGGGAGATGAGGCACCTGTGGCAGGAAAAAAAAAAAAAACCGCGCCGCCAAGAAGCGGAGACTGGGTCCCCCAAGGACGAAAGTGCCTTCCCATCAGCCCCAGCGCATGGCCCCGGGACCCTGACATCTCTGGTTTGAACCCAGGGTGCGTCTCGGGCCCGATAGGGGTACCCCAAAGCGGGCAGAAGGCCCCTGAGGGGGAAGATTAGGTTTGAGGGAGGGGAGGGGAGGCAATTGTGGCAGGAAAAAAAACAAAAAACAAAAAACACAGCGCCGCCAAGAAGAGGGCCTGTGTCCACCACATAAGAAAGTGCCTTCCCATCAGCCCCCGCGCATGGCCCCGGGAACCTGCCGTCCCTGGTTCGAACCCAGGGTGCGTCTCGGGCCCGCTAGGGGTACTCCAAAGCTAGCAGAAGGCCCTTGAGGGGAAGGTTAGGTTTGAGGGAGGGGAGGCACCTGTGGCAGGAAAAAAAAAACAAACCGAGCCGTCGAGAAGCCGAGACTGGGTCCCCCAGGGACGAATGTGCCTTCCCATCAGCCTCTGCTCTGGGTCCCGGGGACCCTGGCGTCACTGGTTGAACACAAGGAGCATCTCGGGCCCACTAGGGATACCTCAAAGTGGGCAGAAGGCCCCTGCGGGGAAGGTAAGGTGTGACGGAGAGGAGGTGAGTCACCTGTGGCACAAAAAAAAAAAAAAAAACGCGCCACCGAGAAGCGTTCCTGGGTCCCCCACGGACGAAAGTTCCTTCCCATCAGCCCCTGTGCTGGACCGCGGGGAACCTGGCGTCCCTGCTTAGAACACATGCAGCGTCTCGGGCCGGCTAGGGGTACACCAAAGCGGACAAAAGCCACTGAGGGGAAGGTAAGCTTTGAGGGAGGGGAGGTGAGGCACCCGTGGCAGGAAAAAAAAAAAGCGCCCCGGAGAACCGGGGCCTGGGTCCCCCACGGATAAAAGTGCCTTCCCATCAGTCCCTGGGTTGGGCTCCGGTTACCATGGATCGCCGGTTCCAACTCAGGGCCCTCTCGGGCCCGCTAGGGGTACCACAAAGCGGGCAGAGGGCCCCTGAGGGGAAGTTAAGGTGTGAGGGAGGGGTGGTGACGCAGCTGTAGCAGAAAAAAAAGGAAAAAACAGCGCGCCTCCGAGTAGCGTTCCTGGGTCCTTCTCGGAAGAAAGTGCCTTCCCATCAGCCCCAGCGCAGGGCCCCGGGACCCTGGCGTCCCTGTTTCGAACCCAGGGAGAATCTCGGCCCGCTAGGGTTTCCCCAGTGCGGGCAGAAGGCCCCTGAGGGGAAGGTGGGGTTCGAGGGAGGGAAAGTGCAGCACCTGTGGCAGGAAAAAAAACAAAACAGAACTCGCCACCAGGAAGCGTTCCTGGGTCCTGCACGCACGAAAGTTCCTTCCCTTCAATCCCTGCGCTGGGACCCGGGGACCCTGGCGTTCCTGATTCCAACCCAGGGAGGGCCTCGGGCCAGCTAGGGGTATCGCAAAGTGGGCAGAAGACCCCTGAGGGGAAGGTTAGGTTTGAGGGAGGGGATGTGAGGCACCTGTGGCAGGAAAAAAAAAAAATCGCGCCGCCGAGAAGCGGGGCCTGGGTCCCCCATGCACGAAACTGCCTTCCCTTCAACCCCTGCTCTGGGTCCCAGGGAACCTGGCGCCCCTGATTCGAACCCATGGCGCTTCTCGGGCCCGCTAGGGGTACCCCAAAGCGGGCAGAAGGCCCCTGAGGTGAAGGTAAGATTTGAGGGAGGGGAGGTGAAGCACCTCTGTCAGGAAAAAAAAAAAAAAATCAACCGCGCCGCCGAGAAGCGTTCCTAGGTCTTCCACGGACGAAAGTGCCTTCCCATCAGCCCCTGCACATGGCCCCGGACCCTGGTTCGAACCCAGGGAGCGTCTCGGTCCCGCTATGGGTACCCCAAAGCGGGCAGAAGGCCCCTGAGGGGAAGGTTAGGTTTGAGGGAGGGGAGGTGAGTCACATGTGGCAGGGAAAAAAAAGAAAAAAAAAGAAAAAAAAACCTCACAGCCGAGAAGCGGGGCCTGTGTCCCCCATGCACGAAAGTGCCTTCCCATCAGCCCTCGCTCACGACCCCGGGACCGTAGCGTACCTGGTTCGAAACCAGGGTGCAAACAAAACTATTATCAGATTGAACAGGCAACCTACAGAATGGGAGAGAATTTTTGCAATCTACCCATCTGACAAAGGGCTAATATCAGGAATCTACAAATAGCTAAAACAAATTTACAAGAAAAAAAAACAACCCTATCAAAAAGTGGGGAAAGGATATAACAGACACTTTTCAAAGGAAGACATTTATGCAGCCAACAGACATATGAAAAATTGCTCATCATTGGTCATCAGAGAAATGCGAATCAAATCCACAATGAGATATCATCTCACGCCAGTTAGAATGGCGATCTTTAAAATTTCAGGAAACAACAGATGCTGGAGAGGATGTGGAAAAATAGAAACACTTTTACACTGTGGGTAGGAGTGTAAATTAGTTCAACCATTGTGGAAGACAGTGTGGTGATTCCTCAGGGATCTAGAACCAGAAATACCTTTTGACTCATCAATCCCATTACTGGGTATATACCCAAAGAGTTATAAATCATGCTACTATAAAGACACACACACACATATGTTTATTGCGGCATTATTCACAATAGCAAAGTCTTGGAACCAACGCAAATGTCCATCAATGATAGATTGGATTAAGAAATTGTGGAGCATATACAGCATGGAATACTATGCAGCCATAAAAAGGATGGGTTCATGTCCTTTACAGGGACATGGATGAAGATGGAAACCATCATTCTCAGCAAACTATCACAAGGACTTCAAACCAAACACCGCATGTTCTCACTTATAGGTTGGAGTTGAACAATGAGAACACATGGACACAGGGCGGGGAACATCTCACATTGGGGCCTGTTTGGGGGTGACGGACTATGAAAGGAATAGCGTTAGGAGAAATACCTAATGTAAATGATGAGTTGATGGGAGCAGCAAACCAACATGGCACATGTATACCTGTGTAACAAACCTGCACGTTCTGCACATGTACCCTAGAACTTAAAGTATAATAAAAAAATTGAATGTTACATACTATAATTTCTGACCAAAAAGGATTAAAACTAGCAATCGATAACAGAAGAAAATTCATACAATTCACAAATATGTAAAAATTAAGCAATTTACTCTTGAACATGCTTTTGTTCAAGAGTTAGAAAACTTACTATTTTGAACATGTCTATAATGCCAAAAGTGACCTACAGATTTAATACAATCCCTATAAAATTCTTAATTTTATTTTTGACAGATACAGAAAATGTGACTCCCAAAAGTATATGGAATTTCAGGAGACCACAAAGAACTCTACAGTTTTCAAAAAGAGAAAAATTTTGGAAACATTACAATTCCTGTTTTCAAAACCTGTTACAAATCTACAGTAATCTAAGTAGTTTGTTACTGGCATAAAGACAGACAAATAGACTAATAAAACCGAGTGCAAAAAAGATGTAAACGCTCACGTATTTATTGTAGCTTTACTTACAAAAATCAATAGGTTAAAGCAATCCATACTTCCCTCAACAAACAAATGAATGGGTACAATTTGGAATATAAAAACAATAGAATATTACCCAGCTTTTGAAAAGCAGAAAACCTTTTATCTATAATAAAAATAAAATCTTGATGACATTATGCTAAATAAAATAAGCCAGCTACAAGACAGATACTGAGTGTATCCACATGTATAAAATATCTAAAGTAGTAACATCCTTAGAAACAGAGAATAAGATAGCATTTGTAAAGGGCTGAACAAAGGAGAAGACAGGCAGTTGTTTCAGGTGTATTGAGTTTTAGTTTTGTAAGATAAAAATGTTCTAGAGATACGTCGAATAATGTCAATGTGCTGAAAAGTCTAAACTATATAATTATTGTCATTGTAAATTATTGTAAAATTGTAAATAATTGTCAATTTTATATGTTTCTTATAACAATGTAAACAATAATAATATCTAAGTGAGATACCGTTTTAATGCATTTCAATAATTATCTTCAGGACCTCGGCAAAACCTGAGTCCTGTCCTCTCGCTTTCCTCCCCGTACACAGCGAGCTTCACCACTTGCTCCGCACCTTCTCCATCAACTACTACCTGTCCCTGGGATCTGTCCAGTCGCCCAGCTAAAGTGCTCAGCAGGTCAGCAGCGCGGCGAGCTTCTATGAGGCGTGGGGTCTGGGGCTCCTGGATCTCTGTGTCCCATTTCACAGAGATTGCCACCTACTGCCGCCTGCTAGAAGATGGGGAGGACTTCAATCTTGGTGGTATTCTGGACAGCAGCAAATACCTGTAAAGCATCCAAAAGACCAACACCCACAGGATAGTGGACGGCAAAGTGGTGTCTGAGACCAACATCACAGACGTCTTGAGGTGCTAAGCCAGCAGAAGCAAGGTCCCTTTGCGGAGCAGGAGGGCAATAAAAACTTCTGTGGTCAAAAAAAAAAAAAAAAAAATTACCCTCGCATCACAGAGGTGTTTTCCTCACGCAAACGTAATATAGATTCATTAATACATAGATGTGGAAATTAGGGCAATTTCCACAACTACTCACCCAGAGAGGATTAAAAAAATAATTGACCACCAACTAATTAAATAAATACAGAAGTCATAAATAAAGCATGAGTAATGTTTATACAGTCAAACGAACAGAGAATTATGTTGGCAATACACATATGGTTGATTCATATTTGACTTTTTTTCTACACTCTTTTAAAGTGTACACAGTTAAATATAGTCATAAAAAATTATAACATAGAAGCAGAAACTAAAAACACACTTAAATGATGTAAGACAGCCTATCCTAACAGGAAAATACAGGAATATAAAATATTACAAAACAAAATTGGATAAACATTAACCTGTGAAATACTGAATAAACAAATCTTGCAACTGAAGAAGACTCTTTCTAGATAACTGAAATATTCAACCATAACTGGACACCCATAAAGAACAGATTTTGAATTATTAGCATATGGTTAGAGTAACAAAATTTCACAACAAATGCATTATAATCTTCTATAAAGAACATTTAGAAGAAAATTTTAATGAAGATTTCAATGATATTAGAGAACAGAGTCTCGCTCTGTTACCCAGGCTGGAGTGTAGTGGCGAGACCTTGGCTCACTGCATCCTCCACCTACCAGGCTGAAGCAATTCTCTGCCCCAGCCTCCCGAGTAGCTGGGATTATAGGCACCCGCCCCCATGCCCTGCTCATTCTTTTTGTGGTTTTAGTGGAGACGGGGTTTCACCATGTTGGCCAGGCTGGTCTTGAACCCCTGACATTTTGATCCACCCACCTCAGCCTCTTAAAGTACTGGGATTACAAGCGTGAGCCACCGCACTGGCCTATAATTTATTTTTTTTTTTAAGTAAAGAAAAGCTTTACATTTTTAAATATGGGAACAACATGAATATTGAAAAATATGCAATGAAACACTACTACATAATAAGCAATGAGAAATAAATTATACTATCATTCGGATAATGTTGAGGAAAGTTAATAGAAACACTAATGATAAGTTTTTCTATGCAGTAAACTTAGACACACAAACTGAAATTTTATTAATGTGAGGTGCATACTAAGTAATTCACTTTTTATATAACACATAAATTCAAGTATGCTATTCTGAAATCCCTGAAGCTAAAATTATAGGCTAATTTGGGATACATAAAAATCAAAAAGTGAAAACGTGCAGATCACAGTCCCACTAAGCTTTATGTAAGATTAAATAATAAAATAACTCAATAAGAAATAATGTAACAATTAAGAATTTATTCTATTCTTGGCAGGTTTCTAAGTTTTTCTATGGCATTAAGGTCTTTAAAAATTCTTTGAGGTGAGTAGATACAATAAACTATTCCACAGGTGAGGTGCTTGGCATAGAGAGTTCACGTTTTTAAGTTAATTTCTACCAAGGAAAAGAAAACTTTTTGACCTCCATTACCAGAGATGAAAAAAAGAATAAAGTGAAATACAAGCTTCACTATATCATATGTGCTGAGATGTTTTGGGCTCTGATAAAAGTTTTTCCGATTTTTTTGCAGGATCACATTTGAAATCATAGGACTGAAAATTATGAAGCAGAAACATTTGTCCTTGGTGTTTCTGAAATATGTGAACCAAACCCCAATGCCTGCACTTTTACTCTCACAAACTTCTGACATGAGGAACAGATTTTTACAAAATAGCTTAATATAGAAGTCTCGCAAAATGTGCAGATTTCCCCAGATCCCCCAAAACAATGGAAAAACACTCAGACCACAAGGCCTTCAAGGGAATAGCAGAAAGAAGAGGAGAACTTCGGCTGTCACTGTGAATGCCCTGGAATGTTAGTGGAGGGACAGGAGGAGCCTTAGAAGATTTAGGAGCATAATAAGCATAGGGTAGGAAATGTCCATCTGTGGCAGCAAAAGAAGTAAATCTAGGATTTTCCAGAACCAATTTCATTGAAGCGAACTTCCCACATCACATTTTTAAAGTTTCCTCCTTGGCCTTTGCACCTCTCATCTTTGTTATTTGTTCATTCTTGCCTATTGGGGTGATGCCTATTATTTTCTCTCTTTTTACATTCCAAAGATTTTCCTTTACTGTAGAACAGGGGCATCCAAGGGAGAATCTCACCACGACCCCAGGTCTAGAGCGCCCAGAGTCCGCCATCCCTGGGAATGGAGGCGGCTTCGGCCTGGGGTCGTGGTGAGATTCGTTGGTGGCTGCGCGATTGTGGCGGAGTTGCAAGCAAACGGGTTTCATCACCTTAAATGGTTTTGAACCAAAGAAGCTGTATTCCCTTAAAAAGACGGACAACCCATCGTGTGAACTATAGAGTTTGTGAACAAATTTATATTGGGTTCATAGTGGCGTCATGCACGCAGACTCCTGCGAGTTCCCCTAAGTTCTTAGAGGACTGCTTTGCCTTTTGATCTGAGAGTTGCAAAGTTCCCTAAAGAATGGCCCTTGTGGATAAGCGCTAAGTCAAGAGACAGCGATTGGACAGAATTTGTGAGGAATTTGCCCCCAGATCATGAAAGTCACCCTGAACCCCGCCTCGTGGTGGCTCTGCTGGATGGACGGGACTGCACTGTGGACATGCCCATCCTGAAGGACCTGGCCACCTGGCCTTCTGTGAGGCTCAGTCCATGCAGGAGATCCACGAGAAAGTTCTAAACGAAGTCGTGGGCGCCATGATGTACCACACCTTCTCCCTCACCAGGGAGGACCTGGAAAATTTCAAGGCCCTGAGAGTGATCATGCAGGTGGGCAGTGGCTACGACAACGTGGCCATCAAGGCTGCTGGCGAGCTCGAAATTGCTGTGTGCAGCATCCCGTCCGCAGCCGTGGAAGAGACAGCCGACTCCACCACCGGCCACATCCTCAATCTGTACTGGGGGAACAGGTCACTGTACCAGGCACTGAGGGAAGGCACACGAGTTCACAGCGTGGAGCAGATTGGCGAGGTGGCCTCAGTAAAGGCCCGCATTCGTGGGGAGATATTGGGCCTCATCGGCTTCGGTCGCACGCAGCAGGAGGTTGCAGTTAGAGCCAAGGCCTTTGCAGGATGGGATCGAGCGGTCCCTGGGTGTGCATAGGGTCTACACCCAGCAGGATTTGCTGTATCAGAACGACTGCGTCTTCTTGCATTGCAATCTCAACGAACAAAACTACCACCTTATCCATGACTTTACCATAAAGCAGATGAGGCAGGGAGCATTCCTTGTGAACGCAGCCTGTGGTGGCCTGGTGGACGAGAAAGCCTGAGCACACACCCTCAAGGAGGGCAGAATACGAGGGGCAGCCCTCGACGTGAATGAGTCGGAGCCCTTTAGTTTTGCTCGGGGTCTGTTGAAAGATGCCTGGAATCTCATCTGCACTCCTCTCACTGCCTGCTACAGCCAGCAGGTGTCACTGGAGATGAGCGAGGCAGTTGCCACTGAGATCCGCCAAGCCATCATAAGTCGCATCCCGGGAAGCTTAAGAAACTGTGTGAACAAGGAATTCTTTGTCACATCAGCGCTTTGGTCCGTAATAGACCAGCAAGAAATTCATCCTGAGCTCAGTGGTGCTACCTACAGATATCTGCCAGGCATGGTGGGCGTGGCTCCAGGAGGACTTCTGCGGCCAGGGAAGACATCATCCCTGGAGACATCCCAGTGACTGACAACCTCCCAACAGTGGTACATCCTTCCCAAGGGCCCTCTCCCAACAGCCCACAAAACACGGGGACAGTCGAGAGCATCCCAACGAGCAATAGCAGAGAATGCCGGAAGGTAATTATTCAGATATACTTGGGAACAGTGAAAAATAGATAATCTAAGAGAAAAAGAATCTGACGGCCTTTTTAGCTGATTCCGGACATATGCATCATTGTTGTTGCAGTGTTAAAACAAGAGCTAGAAAACTGACAATGTCGTCTGCTTACGGAAGCTCTGAAAGACTAGGGTGTGATTTATTAACGACCAACTTCTATTATTGTGTGTTAAGTTTTTCATCTGTGCATCAAATCACAAAGAATAAATAGAACTTTTCCCTTTATCAGTCCCTTAGACACAGCAGGTCCTGAACACCCTGCTTATATGTTGCATCAGCAGTTCAAATATCAAAATAAAAACCATGAAGAGGAAATCCGCATCCTGTGACTTGAGTCCCTTCAGTCTACAGGGACTGGTTACCGCTTTTTGCTAATAGGAAGATTACATTACTAGAAAATGTGGAGTAAACTGTTTGCCTGTGGTAAACACCTGCATGCAAAGGATTGAAGACAGTACCGGCTCCTGTACAGAGACGCGTCTCTCACATCTGAGCTGCATATTGAGCGGCAAGTTGGTTGTAAGTTCAGTAAAAGCCGCTGATGATGCAAAAAAAAAAAAAGTATTAAGTTTCACAAGCTGTTAGTAATCAAGTATATTTTCTCAGTTTCAGATCCTCTGCGATTTTATTGAGTGGAAAGTCTTGCGCTGAGAGGGTTCAAGAAAAATAATATTGCATTTCCCTATGTCAAAGGAACACTTTTAATGGTAACTTGTCAGACTATGAACAAACCCACTTTTTAAGATATTGATAAAGTCTTCTTTTCTTCACGTGATATTTTATACAAGAACACTTCAGATGTATTGGATGTGGCTGATTTTAACAAATCCTATTAGATTTGTATCAATTAGTTACATGTTCTATTCATAGTCTTTTGTGAATCATTGCCTTTTTGTTTAAAAAGATGGCCTATTTTGAGCCTTTGTATAAGTACATTCCTGTTTTTGTGACAAAAGAAAAACTTTAAATTTGTCCCAAAGAGAAAAATAATGGCTATCAGAAGTATGCTTTGTTTTAGTGCGAGTTACCGTTACTGTATTTGTGTATTGTAAAAGTGGACATTCTAATTACATTAAAATGTAATTAGAAAAAAGTGCTTAATGAACAAAAACAGAACATAGACAACAAAAGAATATTAGAAGTGATGCATGAAGAAAACGAGATATCAATAAAAAGATTTTTAAAAACCAAGAAAAATTGTGACTCTGAAGAACACAGTAACTATATTAAAAATTTAATCAGCAGTCACAAAAGCGGATTTAATAAAGCAGAAAAAATTAGACAGTTGATAACATTGCACTTATAAATACTGATTCATGAAAACAAATTTTTTAAACAGAATAGAGAAAAAATCAAAATTGGGACTTACAGCACACCACCAAGTGGACCACTGTATTTATAAAAGGAGTCTTAGAAAAACAGTATAGGAGAAAAATAATAAAGAGGATATTTTTAAAAAGTAGCTGAGAACTCCCTAGATGACAAGGTAATTAAACAAGAAGAAATCATGCTAAACAAAAACCTTCAACTGGAATAATTTCACTTCAGAAAAAAAAGTTAAGCATTTCCAAAACAAATAAAAGTTGAGTGTGTTACTAGCCACTGGAACAGTGCTAAAGGAAATGTAAAAGAAAGTCTATCACGTCCAAAAATGACAATATATGCTGCACAGCGTCATAAAAGCATATGAAAATAGAAAGCTCTCTATTAAAGGTAAATACATAAACAGCTATAGAAACCTCTACTGTCATAATGATGGTGCACAAAACTTTCACGTTATTGCTATGGAATTTAAAAAATGAAGCAGAAAGCTGCATAAATATGGGTTCATAGATACTCAATAAGAAAAGATAACAAGTGATATTAATAACAAAGTGGGGGTATAAAGAGGTAAAGCTTTGCATTCCATTGAAATATAGTCATTATATATTGTCATAACTTTAAGATGTTTTATGAAGTCTTTATTTCTCAAGATGATTACAAAAAAACCTGTAGATGGTATGCAGAAGCAAATGAGAAAGAAATTGAATCATGTCACTACAAAATCAATGAAGAAAAATAAAGCAGTAAGAGAAAAAAATGATAAATAACACATCTACAAGAAACACAGAAGACAATTACAAATAATAATAGTAACTTCATTAACTACAGTAATTACTTCAAATACAAAAAGTTAAATACCTTAAAGAAAATGCATAAAATGATTTAATGGATTAAGAACAAAGAAGATCCAGCAATGTACTCTCTACAAGAGTCACTTTAGCTCTAAGGACCCAAATAAGTTGAAAGTAGCAGTATAAAGAAAATATATTTTATGCAAAGAGTAGCTACAATTGGAGGGGCATGGTCATAATTATATTAAACAAAATATATTTTAAGTTAAAAATTTTAAAAAGAGACAGATTGTTATTATGTAACGGTGAGATGGATTAACTTGCAAGAAATCCATAACAATAATTTAGAAATCATATATATAATTTGAAAAATTATACCATCTGCAAAATCTGCAAAAATATACCATTGGGATTTTGATAAAAATTACATTAAATTTTTATATTACTATAAATAACACTGATATCTTTCTTATTTTTTTTTTTGGAGTTAGAGTTTCTGTCTCCCAGGCTGGAGGACAATGGCACGATCTCGCGATTGGCTCACTTCAACCTCCGCCTCCCAGGTTCAACTGATTCTCGTCTTTCAAATATGTAAAACAAATATTGACAGAAGTCAAGCAAGAAATATATAGCAACACAACAATTGCGGACTTCAAGACTCCGCTTTCAATAATGACTAGAATAGTCAGATGTAATATCAGTAAGAAAGCCAAACCTGAACATTATAGACCTAACAAGCATTTACAGAACTCTGTGATCGAAAGCAGCAAAATATGCAATATTCTCAATCACACATGGTACATTCTGTTAGGATACATGTCTTATTAAATTTAAGAAAACTGAAGTCATGCAATGTAAATGAAACTAGAAATCAAAAGCAAGAAAATGTTTCAGATACGTAAATAAGAGGAAATTAAGCAAAATCTTACATATAGTCTTGCTCAAGTGTCAGGTGATTTAATATTGTTAAGATGTCAGGGCCGGCGCGTGACTCATGCCTGTAATCCCAGGACTTTGGGAGGCCAAAGTGTGTGGATCACTTGAGATCAGAAGTTTGAGACTAGCCTGGCCAACATGGCAAAACCCTATCTCTACTAAAAATACAAAAGTTAGCTATACATGTTGGTGCATGACTGTAATCCCAGCTACTCTGGTGGCTGAGACTGGAGAACTGGTGGCTGAGACTGGAGAATTGCTTGAACATGGGAAGCAGAGCTTGCAGTGAGCACAGCTCACACCACTGCCCTTCAGCCTGAGTGACTCACTAAAACTCCATCTCCAAAGGAAAAAAAAAAGGTTGTCAGTATTACCCATGATGATATAAAAATGTAATGTAATTTTCATCTAAATCCCAATGGTATTTTTTTTGCAGAATTTTTGTGTATAATTCTAAAAGTTGTTTAGGAAGTGTGACTAGGCAAACACCCTTTAAAAAGGACAAAGAGTTATTACATTTTCTGATTTAAAATCATGATACAAAGCTACAAAAATAAAAACAATATGGTATTGCCACAAAAACGGATACATAGATGATGAAACAGAATAGACATCCTGGAAATAAACCCTCGCATACGTGATAAAATAATCTTCCATATGCTTTCCATGACCATGCAATAGAAAAATAAGAATCTCTTTAACAAAGGATTTTCAAAATTGAATGTTTACAGAGCAAAAATAAAGTTGGATGCTTCTTTTGTATTATACATAAAAACAAAAGTTGATTTTTAATGGATTTAATGCTTAAACATAAAAACTAATAAAATTCTTAGAAGTAAACATAGGGGAAAAGTTTATGACATAAGTCTTAAAACTTTGCTTAAGTATGACATCAAATTCATAAGAAACAAGGAAAAGAACAAAAAAGAAAGGAACTACATTAACCTTCAAGTATTCTACACATCAAGGAAAACATTTAGTGGCATACAAATGTCTCCTAATAAGTGGGTGAAACCTGGGTATGCTGGCTCAAGCCTATAATTCTAGAAATTTAGGAGGCCAAGTCAGAACGATCATTTGAGGCCAAAAGTTTGAGACTAGCCATGAAAATATATCAAGACCCTGTCTTGTATAGGGTAATATATGTGCATACATACATACATATAACAAAAAAGTGTAAAAATATTTTCTAATCACATATTTGGTAGGTGTTAATTTCCAAAAGATATAAACTTCTGAAATTCAACAACAACAAAAAGTTAATAACTTGATTTAGAATGGTAAATGTTTGAAATGACCTTTCTCCAAAGAAGACATAGAAATGACTAGGTATTTAAAAGGATACTCGTCCGAGGGCAGGACTATGGGAGGCTGCCCTGTACGGAAAAGAAGAAGAAATGGCAGTAAAGAGGGCAACCATCATTCCACCCAGCCCAAAAGGAATAAGAGAAACCCTATCTTTCAGGATTCTCAAGACACAGTTTTCATGGAGTGATAATGAAAGGAGCAGCAGCCGCCTTAATATCCCAGAGAGAGAAGATGGACGAGAAGGCAACTTAAACCAGATTGTTACTGAACCCAATGCAAACTTTCCCTAGTTCTTGCATGAGGGGTATGTATCATGCCAAGGTCTTTACTCCCATATCAACCAGATCTTGAAGGAGGCTCACTTCAACAGCCTGCAGCAGTGAGGGCAAGCTCCAACATGATGAATTAGGACTTCCTTATTCCAACCTAAACTGTGTTTATAAAAGTAATTGCATACACACCAAAAAAAAAGTCTATTGGTTTTTAAGTCTAAATTTTAAGTAACAAGTTAATGGGCAGTTGTTTAATTGGGGTTTTACTTCACTGCTGTACTTTTAAAGAGGCTGTGAATAAATGTTTATGAAATTTAAAAAATAAAATAAAAAAATAAAAGGATACTCGACATCACTCTTCTAGAAAAATGCAAAGCAAAGTCACAATAATCTACGGCCTCAAGCCGATATTTAAAATAGTATGACAGCTCTTCAAAAAATTTAAAATGAGATTATTATATAATCCAGCAAACCCCCTTCTGGCTATGTACTTAAAATATACAACGCAGATCTGGAAGAGATATTTGCACAACCAAATTTATTGCAATATTATTAACACAAGCCAAAAGGCAGAAACAATCCAGATGTCCCTTGACCAATGAACAGATTAATAACAAGTGGCACATAAACAAAGTCGAATATTATTCAGTCTTTAAAAAGACACATTATATGATAATTCTGGAGAAGATCATGTTAATTGAAATAAGCCAGGAACAAAGTGACAGTCTATGATTCCATTCATAATCAGGTATCTTAAGTAGATATACTCATAGGAAAAAAAAGTTAGAATGGTGCTTGTCAAGGACTGAAGAGATGGTAAAATGAGCAGTTGTTTTATTTTTTATTTTTTTATTTTTTTAAATTATACTTTAAGTTTTAGGGTACATGTGCACATTGTGCAGGTTACACATGTATACATGTGCCATGCTGGTGTGCTGCACTCACTAACTCGTCATCTAGCATTAGGTGTATTTCCCAATGCTATCCCTCCCCCCTCCCCCCACCCCACAACAGTCCCCAGAGTGTGATATTCCCCTTCCTGTGTCCATGGGATCTCATTGTTCAATTCCCACCTATGAGTGAGAATATGCGGTGTTTGGTTTTTTGTTCTTGCGATAGTTTACTGAGAATGATGATTTCCAATTTCATCCATGTCCCTACAAAGGACATGAACTCATCATTTTTTATGGCTGCATAGTATTCCATGGTGTATATGTGCCACGTTTTCTTAATCCAGTCTATCATTGTTGGACATTTGGGTTGGTTCCAAGTCTTTGCTATTGTGAATAATGCCACAATAAACATACGTGTGCATGTGTCTTTATAGCAGCATGATTTATAGTCCTTTGGGTATATACCCAGTAATGGGATGGCTGGGTCAAATGGTATTTCTAGTTCTAGGTCCCTGAGGAATCGCCACACTGACTTCCACAACGGTTGAACTAGTTTACAGTCCCACCAACAGTGTAAAAGTGTTCCTATTTCTCCACATCCTCTCCAGCACCTGTTGTTTCCTGACTTTTTAATGATCGCCATTCTAACTGGTGTGAGATGGTATCTCATTGTGGTTTTGATTTGCATTTCTCTGATGGCCAGTGATGATGAGCATTTTTTCATGTGTTTTTTGGCTGCATAAATGTCTTCTTTTGAGAAGTGTCTGCTCATGTCCTTCGCCCACTTTTTGATGGGGTTGTTTGTTTTTTTCTTGTAAATTTGTTTGAGTTCATTGTAGATTCTGGATATTAGCCCTTTGTCAGATGAGTAGTTTGCGAAAATTTTCTCCCATTTTGTAGGTTGCCTGTTCACTCTGATGGTAGTTTCTTTTGCTGTGCAGAAGCTCTTTAGTTTAATTAGATCCCATTTGTCAATTTTGTCTTTTGTTGCCATTGCTTTTGGTGTTTTGGACATGAAGTCCTTGCCCATGTCTATGTCCTGAATGGTAATGTCTAGGTTTTCTTCTAGGGTTTTTATGGTTTTAGGTCTAATGTCTAACTCTTTAATCCATCTTGAATTGATTTTTGTATAAGGTGTAAGGAAGGGATCCAGTTTCAGCTTTCTACATATGGCTAGCCAGTTTTCCCAGCACCATTTATTAAATAGGGAATCCTTTCCACATTGCTTGTTTTTGTCAGGTTTGTCAAAGATCAGATAGTTGTAGATATGTGGCATTATTTCTGAGGGCTCTGTTCTGTTCCATTGATCTATATCTCTGTTTTGGTACCAGTACCATGCTGTTTTGGTTACTGTAGCCTTGTAGTATAGTTTGAAGTCAGGTAGTGTGATGCCTCCAGCTTTGTTCTTTTGGCTTAGGATTGACTTGGCGATGCGGGCTCTTTTTTGGTTCCATATGAACTTTAAAGTAGTTTTTTCCAATTCTGTGAAGAAAGTCATTGGTAGCTTGATGGGGATGGCATTGAATCTGTAAATTACCTTGGGCAGTATGGCCATTTTCACAATATTGATTCTTCCTACCCATGAGCATGGAATGTTCTTCCATTTGTTTGTATCCTCTTTTATTTCCTTGAGCAGTGGTTTATAGTTCTCCTTGAAGAGGTCCTTCACATCCCTTGTAAGTTGGATTCTTAGGTATTTTATTCTCTTTGAAGCAATTCTGAATGGGAGTTCACTCATGATTTGGCTCTCTGTTTGTCTGTTGTTGGTGTATAAGAATGCTTGTGATTTTTGTACATTGATTTTGTATCCTGAGACTTTGCTGAAGTTGCTTATCAGCTTAAGGAGATTTTGGGCTGAGACAATGGGGTTTTCTAGATATACAATCATGTCGTCTGCAAACAGGGACAATTTGACTTCCTATTTTCCTAATTGAATACCCTTTATTTCCTTCTCCTGCCTAATTGCCCTGGCCAGAATTTCCAACACTGTGTTGAATAGGAGTGGTGAGAGAGGGCATCCCTGTCTTGTGCCAGTTTTCAAAGACAATGCTTCCAGTTTTTGCCCATTCAGTATGATATTGGCTGTGGGTTTGTCATAGATAGCTCTTATTATTTTGAAATACGTCCCATCAATACCTAATTTGTTGAGAGTTTTTAGCATGAAGGGTTGTTGAATTTTGTCAAAGGTTTTTTCTGCATCTATTGAGATAATCACGTGGTTTTTGTCTTTGGCTTTGTTTAAATGCTGGATTACATTTATTGATTTGTGTATATTGAACCAGCCTTGCATCCCAGGGATGAAGCCCACTTGGTCATGGTGGATAAGCTTTTTGATGTGCTGCTGGATTCGTTTTGCCAGTATTTTATTGAGGATTTTTGCATCAATGTTCATCAAGGATATTGGTCTATAATTCTCTTTTTTCGTTGTGTCTGTGTGCGGCTTTGGTATCAGAATGATGCTGGCCTCATAAAATGAGTTAGGGAGGATTCCTTCTTTTTCTATTGTTTGGAATAGTTTCAGAAGGAATGGTACTAGTCCCTCCTTGTACCTCTGGTAGAATTCAGCTGTGAATCCATCTGGTTCTGGACTCTTTTTGGTTGGTAAACTATTGATTATTGCCACAATTTCAGATCCTGTTATTGGTCTATTCAGAGATTCAACTTCTTCCTGGTTTAGTCTTGGGAGAGTGCATGTGTCGAGGAATTTATCCATTTCTTCTAGATTTTCTAGTTTATTTGCGTAGAGGTGTTTGTAGTATTCTCTGATGGTAGTTTGTATTTCTGTGGGATCGGTGGTGATATCGCCTTTATCATTTTTTATTGCGTCTATTTGATTCTTCCCTCTTTTTTTCTTTATTAGTCTTGCTAGCAGTCTATCAATTTTGTTGATCCTTTCAAAAAACCAGCTTCTGGATTCATTGATTTTTTGAAGGGTTTTTTGTGTCTCTATTTCCTTCAGTTCTGCTCTGATTTTAGTTATTTCTTGCCTTCTGCTAGCTTTTGCATGTGTTTGCTCTTGCTTTTCTAGTTCTTTTAATTGTGATGTTAGGTTGTCAATTTTGGATCTTTCCTGCTTTCTCTTGTGGGCATTTAGTGCTATAAATTTCCCTCTACACACTGCTTTGAATGCGTCCCAGAGATTCTGGTATGTTGTGTCTTTGTTCTCATTGGTTTCAAAGAACATCTTTATTTCTGCCTTCATTTCGTTATGTACCCAGTAGTCATTCAGGAGCAGGTTGTTCAGTTTCCATATAGTTGAGCGGTTTTGAGTGAGATTCTTAATCCTGAGTTCTAGTTGAATTGCACTGTGGTCTGAGAGATAGTTTGTTATAATTTCTGTTATTTTACATTTGCTGAGGAGAGCTTTACTTCCAACTACGTGGTCAATTTTGGAATAGGTGTGGTGTGGTGCTGAAAAAAATGTATATTCTGTTGATTTGGGGTGGAGAGTTCTGTAGATGTCTATTAGGTCCACTTGGTGCAGAGCTGAGTTCAATTCCTGGGTATACTTGTTGACTTTCTGTCTTGTTGATCTGTCTAATGTTGACAGTGGGGTGTTAAAGTCTCCCATTATTAATGTGTGGGAGTCTAATTCTCTTTGTAGGTCACTCAGGACTTGCTTTATGAATCTGGGTGCTCCTGTATTGGGTGCATATATATTTAGGATAGTTAGCTCTTCTTGTTGCATTGATCCCTTTACCATTATGTAGTGGCCTTCTTTGTCTCTTTTGATCTTTGTTGGTTTAAAGTCTGTTTTATCAGAGACGAGGATTGCAACCCCTGCCCTTTTTTGTTTTCCATTTGCTTGGTAGATCTTCTTCCATCCCTTTATTTTGAGCCTATGTGTGTCTCTGCACGTGAGATGGGTTTCCTGAATACAGCACACTGATGGGTCTTGACTCTTTATCCACTTTGCCAGTCTGTGTCTTTTAATTGGAGAATTTAGTCCATTTACATTTAAAGTTAATACTGTTATGTGTGAAATTGATCCTGTCATTATGATGTTAGCTGGTTATTTTGCTCGTTAGTTGATGCAGTTTCTTCCTATTCTCGATGGTCTTTACATTTTGGCATGATTTTGCAGCTGCTGGTACCGGTTGTTCCTTTCCATGTTTAGTGCTTCCTTCAGGAGCTCTTTTAGGGCAGGCCTGGTGGTGACAAAATCTCTCAGCATTTGCTTGTCTGTGAAGTATTTTATTTCTCCACTTATGAAGCTTAGTTTGGCTGGATATGAAATTCTGGGTTGAAAATTCTTTTCTTTAAGAATGTTGAATATTGGCCCCCACTCTCTTCTGGCTTGTAGGGTTTCTGCCGAGAGATCCACTGTTAGTCTGATGGGCTTCCCTTTGAGGGTAATCCGACCTTTCTCTCTGGCTGCCCTTAACATTTTTTCCTTCATTTCAACTTTGGTGAATCTGACAATTATGTGTCTTGGAGTTGCTCTTCTCGAGGAGTATCTTTGTGGCGTTCTCTGTATTTCCTGAATCTGAACGTTGGCCTGCCCTGCTAGATTGCGGAAGTTCTCCTGAATAATATCCTGCAGAGTGTTTTCCAACTTGGTTCCATTCTCCCCATCACTTTCAGGTACACCAATCAGACGTAGATTTGGTCTTTTCACATAGTCCCATATTTCTTGGAGGCTTTGTTCATTTCTTTTTATTCTTTTTTCTCTAAACTTCCCTTCTCGCTTCATTTCATTCATTTTATCTTCCATTGCTGATACCCTTTCTTCCAGTTGATCGCATCGGCTCCTGAGGCTTCTGCATTCTTCACGTAGTTCTCGAGCCTTAGTTTTCAGCTCCATCAGCTCCTTTAAGCACTTCTCTGTATTGGTTATTCTAGTTATACATTCTTCTAAATTTTTTTCAAAGTTTTCAACTTCTTTGCCTTTGGTTTGAATGTCCTCCCGTAGCTCAGAGGAATTTGATCGTGTGAAGCCTTCTCTCAGCTCGTCAAAGTCATTCTCCATCCAGCTTTGTTCCGTTGCTGGTGAGGAACTGCGTTCCTTTGGAGGAGAGGCGCTCTGCGTTGTAGAGTTTCCAGTTTTTCTGTTCTGTTTTTTCCCCATCTTTGTGGTTTTATCTACTTTTGGTCTTTGATGATGGTGCTGTACAGATGGGTTTTCGGTGTGGATGTCCTTTCTCTTTGTTAGTTTTCCTTCTAACAGACAGGACCCTCAGCTGCAGGTCTGTTGGAATACCCTGCTGTGTGAGGTGTCAGTGTGCCCCTGCTGGGGGGTGCCTCCTAGTTAGGCTGCTCGGGGGTCAGGGGTCAGGGACCCACTTGAGGAGGCAGTCTGCTGGTTCTCAGATCTCCAGCTGCGTGCTGGGAGAACCACTGCTCTCTTCAAAGCTGTCAGACAGGGATATTTAAGTCTGCAGAGGTTACTGCTGTCTTTTTGTTTGTCTGTGCCCTGCCCCCAGAGGTGGAGCCTACAGAGGCAGGCAGGCCTCCTTGAGCTGTGGTGGGCTCCACCCAGTTCGAGCTTCCCGGCTGCTTTGTTTACCTAAGCAAGCCTGGGCAATGGCGGGCGCCCCTCCCCCAGGGTCGCTGCCGCCTTGCAGTTTGATCAGACTGCTGTGCTAGCAATCAGTGAGATTCCGTGGGCGTAGGACCCTCCGAGCCAGGTGTGGGATATAATCTCGTGGTGCGCCGTTTTTTAAGCCGGTGTGAAAAGCGCAATATTCGGGTGGGAGTGACCCGATTTTCCAGGTGCGTCCGTCACCCCTTTCTTTGACTTGGAAAGGGAACTCCCTGACCCCTTGCGCTTCCCAAGTGAGGCAATGCCTCGACCTGCTTCGGCTCGTGCACGGTGCGCGCACCCACTGGCCTGCGCCCACTGTCTGGCACTCCCTAGTGAGATGAACCCGGTACCTCAGATGGAAATGCAGAAATCACCCGTCTTCTGCGTCACTCAGGCTGGGAGCTGTAGACCGGAGCTGTTCCTATTCGGCCATCTTGGCTCCTCCCTCTTGCTTAACTGTTAAAGGGGTAATGTTCTATCTAAAACTTGGAGTCAGCTGATATAAAAGTTTTAACTCTTAAGTGGAGATAGGGATGCTATGTAGCAAGATTGCTGACCTGCATGCATGGCTTAACACTTGCCTTGCACTGCCTTAAATTGTGGCAATAATTTGGTATTATATTGCCACAGAGTCAGTTTTGTCAGTCTTATGATCTCTATTTTAACATTAGTGCTGATGATTTGTTGTACCTAAAGAGCAAACAGAGGTACAACAGCAAACAGGTGTGTAACAAGGCCTGTCTCCTCCTGTTCTGTGTGGGAGATGCTGATGGGAGAAGAAAAGACACACACAATACCTTTAAGGGCAAACAACTTTTTTATCCCATGTAAATGGCATTGCAGATATCTATATCTATATCTATATTTTTATCTATCTATCTATATCTATGTATGTATGTATCTATCTATCTATATCTATATCTATGTATATATACTCACCAGACTATACAGCATTCATGGCCAGATGGGGAAGCAACAGCCTAGGCTCCAGAGTTGGCTACTACACCCACCAGACTATGGAGGTTTCACTTTTCAGCTTCAAGATCACGGCTGGAAGCTCAGGGACTTCCCACATTCCAGGATAGAAACTCCTCCAGTTCTCCCTCTTGGCAATTGAATGGTCGGGGGAACTGACCTTAGTGAAAATTGGGTATCTAAATTATTGGAATTTGAACCTTTGACTGTGCATGAAGTGCTGCAGGGGATTTCGGTCAGCAAAGGAGATGCCAGGGGGATCTCTTAGCATAGATGGTGCTTGCTTACTGCTTATAAGTTAATGTGTTGAGATAGAAATCAATTGCTACAAGATAAATGTAAACTGGAAAAAGAAAACACTACTCTGACTTCCAGACTGGCCCTGGCTCAATTTCAGGCCTATGTCTTGACTGATCAGGCTCAAAGCTAACAGATTATTGATGAAAAAAACAGCTGTGCAAGTGGTGTGGTCAGGGTAAAACTGAAGAACGAGTCAGCTGGGGCTTGGAGTGGGTAAAAACCCAGTTCCTATCTGAAGAATGGGAAATTAGCCTTTACAAATTTCAAGAACCTGCACAAACTATAAAATTGCTTTGCATCCCATGGAACGCAAGGAAAAAGTCCATTTTACCAAAGGCTATGGTTAAAATACTAGAATTTGCAACCCCTACCACTAAAAAGGAGGCCCAGAAATTTATTGGCTTGTTTGAATTCTGGAGACATCTTCCCGATTTGGGTAACATCTCACAACCTCTGTATGCAGTCACTAGAAAATATAATGACTTTCACTGGAGGTAGAAAGAGAACACAGCCTTTGAGCAAGCTAAGCAAGCAGTGCATCTGGCCCTGGATGGCCCATATGGGATGGGACCGTAGAATTGCAAACAACTGTCCTGGATTAACATGCTAATTGGAGCCTTTGGCAGAAACAAGATGGGAAGAGGGGACTCTTGGGGTTTCAAACCCGGAAGCTGCCAGAGGCTGGCGAAGCTTATAATCCTTTTGAGAAGCGACTGTTAGCTTGCTATCGGGCTTTGCTGGAAATGGAGACTCTCTGCTTCAACCATGATGTCTTCATAAGGCCTGAAATTCCTATTATGACTTGGGTCATGAGGTCCACCAAAACCCATCGAATAGGGCATGCTGAAGAAAGTAGCATCACATAATGGAATGGTATATACAAGATAGGGTAAAGCCAGGACCAAAGGGGGTATCGTTTTTAAAAAATTTGCCAACTCAGAAAGCCACCGAACAAGTCCTGCAGGCAGGGAAAGAGACCTGCCTCATCCAAAGCATCAGAAACATGCTTGGTTTACTGATGGATCTGCCAGATACATTGGTGGGACCCGATGCGGGGAGGCCGTGGCTTATAATCCTGTTAAAAACATAAGTATTTCTGATGAAGGAAGGGATGGGAGCAGCCAGCTGGCTGAGCTAGTAGCCATGTTCCCAGCTATTCAGAAGAAGGCCAGAGGGATTTGACACTTGTATACCAACTCTTGGTCAGTAGCAAATGGTCTTACTATCTAGATGCCTCAATGGCAATGAGGCAAATGGTTAATTGGGAATAAAGAGGTTTGGGGAAAGAATACAGGGAAGATATCTGAATCCCTGTGCACCCTACCATTAACACTGTTATGTTGATGCTCATGCATCTCTGCTTTCTCTTGGCAGACTAATTAATCAGCAGGCAGGTCAACAGGCCAAAATTTCCACCATAACTGCAAACCCAAATGTGGATGAATGGATTACAACACGTCCAAGCATTGGAATGAGAGGCATTATAGTGTATGGTGGTGTAATTGATAGTGATTACCGGTGAGAGTTAAAAATCTTTTAACACAATACCACCGAAAATTCTTTTGCCATAAAGCCGCAGATGCAGATTGCTCAGCTACTGGTAGTACCGTGTCACCAATTAACCCCGAGGAAATTTCTGCCCCAATAGGAACATCATATAGAACTGGAGGATTTGGGTCCACCAAAGTGGGCAGCTTAAATCCTGGGGCCACAGTATGGGGGCAGGAAATGAGGGGAGTAGTAAAATTTTAAAAACAATGTTATGTTCCCCTCTGTTTTTGTTATTAAAAGGAATAGCCTATCGAATGATGGTCAGCACCTGCTTCTTTGTGTCTGAGGCCAAGAATGCATTTAGCAACTGGGTAGCCACCGCTGCAACAGAAGTCAACTGCAGTTAGTGCTGCCTTTTAGTCGAATTGCCACAGGCTGCAGGGAATGGGCTCCCTTAAAAAATTGTCTCTGCCAACATTTCCAAGTGGTTACATCACTACCAAGGGGGTCAGGAGAATAGCACCTGTAATCCCACCTGGACTTCTTTTAACCAAAACAAAGAGTCTATTTTTGCCCAAGTCTGACAAAAGGAGAAATCCACTTTTGCAATGCATCAAAGGCCTTTGTATCCTACCCAATATACCTGGAAAGACATATACAGGGAACCTACCATACCGGTAGCTGAACTCCATATGGCACCGCACCCCACCTTTGTCTGGAGGCCTTAAATGGCTCTTTTAATGTTACTCTGGGGTTTCTCCCACCAGACAATTGTCAACACATACTCCAAATCAACAGCATTGTCCCCAATGAAACACAACCTCTTTCCTAAATCTAGATGCTTCCAAACATCACTGGTTACAAATGCGCCAGAATCCCTGATGGGGTGTACCCTATAACAGTGTTCTCCTCTGCCACTGATACAATTCTGCTTCAGCAAAAAATTTAAATATTAAGCTTACATGTAGAAAAAGCTCTTAATGGTAGTAGCACTGGACTTATGTTGTTATCAGAGGAATTTGCTCAGTTGTGTAGTGTTGTGTTGCAAAATCAAATGGCATTAGGTATGCTTACCGCAGCCCAAGGAGCGTTTCAGCCTTGCTGCATACTGAATTTTGTGTGTGTATCCCTGACAGTTCTCACAATATTACTCTCCTCGCCCAAGACATGCAAGGACAAGCAAAACAAAATCTAACTGTCAGGACCCCATCATGAATTGGCTGTCCAACTGGCATTGGCGTTGGCCTTGGTGGGTGCGGTTTTTATTAACTGTGTTTTAATTCTCCTCTGCTTACCCTGCTTCTGTAACCTCTACCAATTATGTATTCCTCGTATATCTGTAAGGGTATTTTCCTACATTTGAGTATCAATTGGGACCGAATACGCAGAAAAAGTTAAATAATATATTTAAACTCAATTGAACATGGACACAAATAATGGTCACCAAGTCTCGGAATAGGTTTTGTGAGCCCCTTGAGGCATTCATCCAGCACTGTTTCAGAGAAATCTCTATTTCAATCTATTCCTATACTTTAGTTATTGAAAAACAACAGACAACGGCAAAAGCAAATTGACCTTTTTGTGTTCCTTTGTGCATGGATGAGTGGCTGACTCTGGAGCCCAGGCTGTTGCTTCTCGGTCTGGTGATGAATCCTCCATAGTCTATCCTCATATATATATACACACATTTTTTTCCTTCTCCCCTTCCCACTGCAATTTGCTTATTGTATCAATTTGCTTATTCTATCATTTGCTTATTATATCTGAATTGCCATTTATGTGGGATCGAGTTTGTTGACCTTTAAAGGTATTGTGTGTGTGTGTTTTCTTCTTCCCTGGAGCATCTCCTGCACATAACACCTCTCTTGCTGTCATAGCCAGAAATTCAGTTTTTAAGTTTTTTTCTGGGGTCTTCTTGCTCAAGAGGAAGTATGTTCAGTTGATACGGGGCTTAGAATTTTATTTATAGCTTTTATTACATTCTAAAACCCCCAGCAGAAACAAGTCTTAACAAACACAGATTTTAATTTCTGAACATTCTTCTAATAAGTTTTGCACAGGTAGCGGAACAACTAAAAAAACTGTTTTTTGCATTGATGGTCTACCTCATTACAATTTAACCTCTAAAGGGTGTTTTAGCCAGCTCTAGAGTCTGCTACGGTTAAGGTGAATTTACTGCTTCTTCCCATAATAAAGAATGGTATTTTAAAATAACATAACTTCTATGGCATATATTTTTAAAGCATGACCACAATTTGAATAATTAGAACATTTAAAAATTCGAAATATTGTTATACTGACACTGCACCAAAATTTATCCTTCCAATGATGACAGGGAATTTTTAATAGTTGTTATTTTTATAGTAAAATTAAACTTTAATAAAATAACTGACTTTCAAACTTCAGCAAGAAGACACATATTCAGCCAGAGATATCAGTTCCCCTTTAGAAAAAAATACTCACTTCTCATTAAAATCTCTCTGTATCTTACTGATTTCAGATAGAATTTAAATTTCACCTTAATAACAGAAACAAAAGAACTAGTTAATCTAACAAAAACTAATAAACGTATGCCCAAATTTACTGGCAGAATCATGGGTACGTCATATAATAGTAACATTCTACCAGTTTTAAGTAAAATAAATAAGGAAATAATCTTAACAGTGCAACCTACCAGGAGGGGCCTATCCCTACTCCCAGGTGAGTGGGAACCCTGCGCTCTGGGGGGGTTGCGCCTCAGCCTCTGGCACCTCTTGTTGGCAGCGTCGCCGTTGCAGGCACAGGGCAGGCGTCGGGGGACGTGCAGTGGGCCAGGCCCAGGCACGTCCTTTGCCAGGGGCTGGGCAGGTGCGGAGAGGGGCGGAGCGGTGCTGCCCTGGTCGAGGGAGCCTCCAGCTCTGGACAGTTTGCCGCCCCTGCCTCAGGAGGGCGCTGAAGGAGCTGAGTGGGGAAGCGGAGGGACGAGGGGATTCAGGCCAGGCCAGGTGGCCCTTTAGCCCTGGGTGATGCAGGAGGGGCTGTGGAAGACCAGAGAAGACCCGGAGCAGAAACTGGGAACTGATATCTCTGGCTGAATATTTGTCCTCTTGCTGAAGTTTGAAAGTCAGTTATTTCATTAAAGTTTAATTTTATTATAAAAATAGCAACTATTAAAAATTCCCTGTAGTCACTGGAATGATAATTTTTGGTGCCGTTTCAGCATAATAATCTTTGGAGTTTTTAGATATTCTAATTATTCAAATTGCGGCCATGTTTCAAAATATATGCCATATAATTTTATGGCATCCGCCTCTGTGTCCCTGTTGGCTCAGGAAACGTGCTTCTTCCTCCTTCCGCAGGCTCAGATCAGGCCGCCCTTCCTCCTGGCGTCTGAGGCGGGCATGGGGATAGCCTGCCAGCGAATAGCCTGACAATGCCCGGCCTGTGCCCTGTGCTCAGCATGGGGTCCTGGCTGGTGCCCCTCAGAGCCCCTCACAAAGTAGCGTGACAGGTGTGGAAGGACCCAGAACCCGGCAGCGGTGAGCGGATGGATGTTCCAGGGATGTGGGGCAGCTGGCAGTCAAGATCCCACTGCCAAATTCAATGGCATAACGTTGCATATTTTTCCCTTATATTTTTGTGTAGGAGTTTTACAGCTTTCAGCCTTACATTTGTATTTTCTTAACATAGGATTCCAGAACAATGCTACGAGGGTCTGAATGCCTGTCCCACACGTAGGATTCCAGAACACATCAGCTGTGGTCTGAATGATTGCCCCTCACATATGATTCCAGAACAGTCCTGCTGCGGTCTGAATGATTGTACCTCACACAGGGTTCTAGAGCACTCCTTCCCTAGTCTGAATATTTGTCCGTCAGATAAGATTCCAGAACACTGCTGCTGGGTTCTGAGTTTTTGTCCCTCACATACAATTCCAGAACACTGCTAGGGGGGTCTGAATGTTTGTACCTCACATAAGATTCCAGAACACTGTTATGAGGGTCTGAATCTTTGTCCCTCACATAGGACTCCAGAACACTCCTGCTGTGTTCTGAATGTGATTTCCTAACATAGGATTACAGAACAATGCTACGAGGGTCTGAATGCTTGTCCCACAAGTAGGATTCCAGAACACTCCAGCTGTGGTCTGAATGGTTGTCCCTCACATAGGATTCCAGAACACTGCTGCTGGGTTCTGAGTGTTTCTCCCTCACATAGGATTCCACAACAGTGCTACAAAGGTCTCAATGTTTGTCCCGCACATAGGACTCCAGAGCACTCCTGCTGTGTTCTGAATGTATTTTCCTAACCTAGGATTCCAGAACAGTGCTACGAGAGTCTGAATGCTTGTCCCACACGTAGGATTCCAGGAGATGCCAGCTGTGGTCTGAATGATGGTCCCTCATATAAGATTCCAGAACAATGCTGCTGGGTTCTGAGTGTTTGTCCCTCACATAGGACTGCAGAACACTGCTACGAGGGTCTGAATGATTGTACCTCACATAGGATTACGGAACACTCCTGCTCTGGTCTGAATGTTTGTCCCTCAAATGGGATTCCAGAACACTGAGTTTGGGATCTGAGTGTTTGTCCCTCACGTATGACTCCAGAACACTGCCTCATGGTTGTAAATGTTTGTCCATCACATAGAATTCCAGAACACTGCTATGAGGGATTGAAAGTTTGTCCCGCACATAGGACTCCAGAACATTCCTGCTCTGCTCTGAATGTTTGTCCCTCACATAGGATTCCAGAACACTGCTGCTGCGTTCTGAGTGTTTCTCCCTCACATAGGATTCCACAACACTGCTACGAGTTTCTGAATGTTTGTCCCTCACATAGGATTCCAGAACACTGCTACGTGGGCCTAAATGTTTGTCCCTCACATAGGAGTCCAGAACACTGCTGCTTTGGTCTGAATGTTTGTCCCTCACTTAGGATTCCAGAACACTCCTTCTGTGGTCTGAAAGTTTCTCCCTCACAAAGGATTACAGAACACTGCTCCTGGTTTCTGAGTGTTTGTCTTTTACATAGGATTCCAGAACACTGCTACGAGGGTCTGAATGTTTGTCCCTCATATAGGATTCCAGAACACTACTGCTGTGGTCTGAATACTTGACCCTTATATAGGATTCCAGAACATTCCTCCTGTCATCTGGGTGTTTGTGCCTCACAAGGGTTTCCAGATCTATCCTGCTGTGTTCTGAATGTTTCCCCCTCACATAGGATTCCAAAACATTTCTTCTCTGGTCTGAGTGTTTCTCCCTCAAATAGGATTCCAAAACACTGCTACTGGAGTCTGAATGTTTGTCCCTCACATAGGATTCCAGAACACTGCTATGAGGGTCTGAATTATTCTCCCTGACATAGCGTTCCAGAACACTCCTGCTGTGTTCCGAATGTTTGTCTCTCACTCAGGATTCCAGAACACTCGTGCTGTGGTCTGAAAGTTTGTCCCTCACTTAGGATTCCAGAGCACTGCTGTTGGTTTCTGAGTGTTTGTACTTAACGTAAGATTCCAGAACACAGCTACTTGGGTCTAAATGTTTGTCCCTCACATAGGATTCCAGAACACTGCTACGAAGGTCTGAATTTTTCTCCCTCACATGGGATTCCAGAACACTCCTGCCATGCTCTGAATGTTTGTCCCCCCCTAAGGAATCCAGAACACTGCTGTTGGGTTCTCAGTGTTTGTCCCTCTAGTACGATTCCAGAACACTGCTACGAGGCTCTGAATGATTGTACCTCACATAGGATTCCAAGACACTCTTGCTCTGTTCTGAATGTTTGCCGCTCAAATAGGATTCCAGAACACCGCTGCTGGCTTCTGAGTGTTTGTCCCTCATGTATGATTCCAGAACACTGCTGCTGTGGTCTGAATGCTTGTTCCTCACATAATATTCCAGTACACTACTGCTGTGTTATGAATGATTGTCTCTCATATAGGATTCCAGAACACTACTATTGTAGTCTCAATGGTTGACCCTCACATGGGATTCCAGAAAACTGCTGCTGTAGTCTCAGTGGTTTTGCCTCACATGGGATTCCAGAGCAATCCTCTTGTGGTCTGAGTGTTTCTCACTCACAAAGGATTCCAAAACACTCCTGCCATGGTCTGAGTGTTTGTCCCTCAAGTAAGATTCCACAACACTGCTACTGGGCTCTGAATGTTTGTCCCTCACATAGGATTCCAGAACACTGCTACTAGAGTTTGAATTATTCTCCCTCACATAGGAATCCGCAACACTCCTGCTGTGGTCTGAATGTTTGTCCCTCACTTAGGATTCCAGAACACTGCTGCTGGGTTTGCAGTGTTTGTCCCTCACATCGGATTCCAGAACACTGCTAGGAGAGTTTGAATGTTTGTCCCTCACATAAGATTCAAGAACACTGCTACGAGGGTGTGAATGTTTGTCTCTCAGATAGGATTCCAGAACACTCCCGCTGTGGTCTGAAAGTTTGTCCCTCACATAGGATTCCAGAACACTACCCCTGGGGTCTGAATGTTTGTCTCTCACATAGGATTCCAGAACAATCCTGCTGTGGTGTGAATGTTTGTACCTAAAATAGGATTTCGGAACACTGCTGCTGGCGTCTGAATGTTTGTACCTCACATGGGATTCCAGAACAATCGTGCTGTGGTCTGAACGTTACTCACATAGGATTCCAGAACATTCCTTCTGTGGTCTGAATGTTTCTCCCTCACGTCGGATTCCAGAACACTGCTACGAGAGTCTGAATACTTTTCCCTCACATAGGATTTCAGAACACTGCTAAGAGGGTCTGAATGTTTGTCCTTCACATAAGATCCAAGAACACTGCCTCTGGGTTTTGATTGTTTGTCCTTCACATCGAATTCTAAAACACTGCCACAGGAGTCTGAAAGTTTGTCCCTTACATAGGATTCAAGAACACTGCTAAGAGGTTCTGAAGCTTTGTCCCTCACATAGGATTCTGGAAAAATTTTGCTGTGATCTGAATGTTTGTTCTGCACAAAGGATTCCAGAAAACTTCTGCTGTGGTCTGTATATTTGTCCCTCACATAGGATTCCAGAACACCCCTGCTGGGTTCTGGCTGTCCCTCACATAAGACGCAATAACCCTCCTGCTGTGATCTGTATGTTTGTCCCTCACATAGGATTCCACAACACTGCTAGGAGGGTCTGAATGTTTGTCCTTCACATAGGATTCCAGAACACTGCGGCTGGGGACTAAATGTTATTCCTTCAAAAAGGATTCCAGAACACTTCTGCTGGGGTCTGGATGTTTTCTCCCTCACATAGGATTGCTTAAAAATGCTTCTAGACTCTAAATGTTTGTCCATCACAGAGGATTCCAGAACCGTTCTGCTGGTTTCTGACTGTTTCTCCCACACATAGGTATCCAGAACACTGCTGCAGGGGTCCGAATGTTTATCCATCACATAGGATTAAATAATACTCCTGCTTAGGTCTGAATGTTTGCCCCTCATATAGGATTCCAGAACAATGCTTCTGGCATCTGAATGTTTGTCGCTCGCATAGGATTCCACAACACTGCTGCTGGTTTCTGAGTGTTTGGCCTTCACATAGGATTCCAGAACACTGCTACCAGGGTCTGAATGTCTGTCTCTCACATAGGATTCCAGAACATTCCTCCTGTGGTATGAATGTTTGTCCCTCTCATAGGATTACAGAACACTGCTGCTGGGTTCTGAGTGGTTAGCCCTCACAAAGGATTCCAGAACACTGCTAAGAGGGACTGAATGTTTGTCCCTCAAATAGCATTCCAGAACACTCCTGATGTGGTCTAAATATCCGTTCCTCACATAGGATTCCAGAAGAATTCTGCTCTAGTCTGAATCTTTGTCCCTCACTAGTATTCCAGAACACTGCTTCAAAGGTCTGAATGTTTGTCCCTCACAGGGGATTCTAGTACACTCCTGTTGTGGTCTGACTGTTTGTCCCCCACATAGGATTCCAGAACACTGCTAGGAGGAACTAAATGCTTACCCCTCACATAGGTTTCTGGAACACTCTTACCAGGGTCTGAATGTTTGTCCCTCACAGGGGATTCTAGAACACTCCTGATGTGGTATGAGTGTTTCTCCCTCACATATGATTCCAGAACACTCCTGTTGTTGTCTGAATGCTTTTCCCTCACACAGGGTCCCAGAACACTCCTGTTGGGTTGTGAGTGTTTGTCCCTCTCCTAGGATTCCAGAAAACTGCTATGAGGTTCTGAATATTTGCCCCTCACATAGGACTCCAGGACACTGCTGCTGTGTTGTAAATGTTTGTTTCTCACATAGGATTTCAGAAGACTCCTGCTGTTGTCTTAAAGTTTGTCCCACACATAGGATTCCAAAACACTCCCGCTGTTGTTTGAATGCTTGTCCCTTACATAGGATTCCAAAACAATGCTGCTGGCGTCTGAATGTTTGTCCCTCACGTAGGATTCAAGAACACCGTTACGAATGTCTGAATGTTTGTTCCTCACATAGGATTTCAGAACAATACAGCTGTGATCTGACTGTTTGTCCCTCAAATAGGGTTCCAGAACACTGCTGCTGGGTTCTGAGTGTTTGTCCCTCACATCTGATTCCTGAACACCGCTGCGAGTGTCTGAATGATTGCCCCTCACATAGGATTCTAGAACAGTGCTGCTGAGGTCTAAATGTTTGTCCGACACATATGATTCCAGAACACTGCTAAGAGGGTCTGAAGGTTTGTTCCTCACACAGAATTCCAGAACACTGCTACGAGCATCTGAAAGTTTGTCCCTCACACAGGATTCCAGAACACTGCTACGAGGGTCTGAAAGTTTGTCCCTCACACAGAATTCCAGAACACTGCTACGAGCATCTGAAAGTTTGTCCCTCACACAGAATTCCAGAACACTGCTACAAGCATCTGAATGATTGTCCCTCATATAGGATTCCAGAACGCTGTTGCTGGGGTGTGACTGTTTGTCCCTCACATAGGATTCCAGAACAATGCTGCTGGAGTCTATATGTATGTCCTTCACATGATTCCAGAACCCTGCTGCTGGGTTCTGAGTATTTCTCCCTCACATAGAATTCCAGAACACTGCGACGAGGGTCTGAATGTTTGTTCATAACATAGGATTCCAGAACACTTTCGCTGTTGTTTTAATGTTTGTCCCTCACATAGGATTCCAGAACACTGCTGCTGAGGTCTGAATGTTTGTCCCTCGCATAGGATTCCAGAACACTGCTGAGACTGTCTGAATGTTTGTCCCTCACATATTATTCCAGAACATTGCTACGATTGTCTAAATGTTTGTCCCTAACATAGCATTCCAGAACAATGCTCCGAGGGTCTGAATGTTTGTCCCTCACATATGATTCTGGAACACTGATACGATTGTCTGAATGTTTCTCCCTCACATATGATTCTGGAACACTGCTACGAGGGTCTCAAAATTTGTCTCTCACATAGAATTCCAAAACACTCCTGCTGTGTTTTGAGTGTTTGTCCCTAACATAGGATTCCAGAACAATCCTGCAGTGGTCTGAATGTTTGTCCCTCACATAGGGTTCCAGAACACTGCTGCTGGGTTCTGAGTGTTTGTACCTCACATAGGATTCCAGAAAACTGCTGGTATGGTCTAAATGTTTGTCCATCACGTAGGATTCCAGAACATTGCTACGAGGGTCTGAATGTTTCCTCCTCACAGGGGATTCCGTAACACTCCTGCTGTGGTCTGAATGTTTGTCCCTCAGACAGGATTCCAGAACACTGCTACGAGGTTCCTAATGTATGTCCATCACACAGAATTCCAGAACACTGCTCTGAGGGTCTGAATGATTGTCCCTCTCATGTTATTCCAGTACACTACTGATGGGGTCTGAATGTTTGTCCCTCACATAGGATTCCAGAACACTGCTACGGGGCTCTGAATATTTGTCACTCACATAGAATTCCAGAACCCTTCTACGATTGTCTGAATGTTTGTCCCTCACATAGGATTCCAGAACACCGCCACGAATGTCTGAAGTTTTGTCCCTCACTTAGGATTCCAGAAGAATACAGCTGTGGTCGGAATGTTTGTATCTCACATAGGGTTCCAGAACACTGTTGCTGGGTTCTGAGTATTTGTACTTCACATAGGATTCCAGAACACTGCTACGAGTGTTTGAATGACTGTCCCTCACATAGGATTCCAGAACACTTCTACGATTGTCTGAATGTTGGTCTCTCAAACAGGGTTCCAGAAGACTGCAGCTGGGTTCTGAGTGTTTGTCCCTCACTTAGAATTCCAGAACACTGTAACGACGGTTTGAATATACGTTCCTAACATAGGATTCCAGAACACTCCCGCTGTTGTTTGAATGTTTGTCCCTCACATAGGATTCCAGAACACTGCTACGGTTTTCTGAATGTTTGTCCCTCACATAGGATTCCAGAACACTTCTACCAGGGTCTGAATGTTTGTCCCTCACATAGGATTCCAGAACACTTCTACGATTGTCTGAATGTAGGTCCCTCGCATAGGATTCCAGAACATTGTTATGAGGGTCTGAATGTTTGTTCCTCACAGGGGATTCCAAAACACTCCTGCTGTGTTCTGAGTGTTTGTCCCTCACATACGATTCCAGATCACTGCAACGAGGGTCTGAATGAATGTGCCTCATATAGGATTCTAGAACGCTGCTGCTGAGGTCCGAATGTTTCTCTCTCACATAGGGTTTCAGAAAACTGTTACAAGGGTCTGAATGTTTGTCCCTAATATAGGATTCCATAGCACTCCGGCTGTGGTCTGAATGTCTGTCCCTCACACAAGATTCCAGAACTCTGCTGCTGTAGTATGAATGGATCTCCATCACATAGCATTCCAGAACACTGCTACGAGGGTCTGAATGTTTGTGCCTCAAATAGGATTCCAGAACACTGCTGCTGGAGTCCGAATGTTTGTGCTCACATAGGATTCCAAAGCACTGCTATGAGATTCTGAATGTTTTTCCATCACATAATATTCCAGAAAACTGCTACGAGCGTCTGGAAGTTTGTGCCTCACATAGGACCAAAGAACTCTGCTGCTAGAATGCGAATGTTTGTTGCTAACATACAATTCCAGAACACTCCTGCTGTGTCTGAATGTTTGTCTTTCACAAAAGATTCCAGAACACTCCTACCGGGGTCTTAATTTTTGTCCCTCACATAGGATTCAACAACACTGTTGCTGGGGTCTCAAAGTTTGTCCCTCAGGTAGGATTCCAGAACACTGCTGCTGGGGTCTAAAAGTTTGTCTGTCACATAGGATGCCAGAAAACTGCTGTTAGTTTCTGAGTGTTTCTCCCTCACATAGAATTCCATAACAATGCAATGAGGATCTGAATGTTTGTCCATAACATAGGATTTCAGAACACTCCAGTTATTGTTTCAATGTTTGTCCCTCGCATAGGATTCCAGAACACTGCTAAGAGGGTCTGAATGTTTGTCCCTCACATAGGATTCCAAAACACTCCTGCTGTGTTCTGAGTGTTTGTCCTTCACATAGGATTCCAGATCAATCATACAGTGGTCTGAATGTGTGTCCCTCACATAGGTTTCCAGAACACTGCTAAGAGGTTCTGAATGTTTGTCCCTCACATAGGATTCCAAAACACTCCTGCTGTGTTCTGAGTGTTTGTCCTTCACATAGGATTCCAGATCAATCATGCAGTGGTCTGAATGTGTGTCCCTCACATAGGTTTCCAGAACACTGCAACAGGGGTCTGAATGTTTTTCCCTCACATTGCATTCCAGAAAACTGCTACGATTCTCTGAATGTTTGTCCCCCACATAGGATTCCAGAACACTGCTACGAGGGTCTGATTGTTTTTTTCTCACATTGGACCCCAGAACTCTGTTGCTGGGGTCTATATGTTTCTCTGTCAAATAGGATTCCAGAACCCTGATACGAGGGTCTGAATGTTTGTTCCTCACAGGGGATTCCAGAACACTCCTTCTTTGGTTTAAAGCTTTGTCCCTCACACGGAATTACAGAACAGTGGTACGAGGGTCTGAATGATTGTCCTTCCCATAGGATTCCAGAACACTGCTATGATAGTCTTAATATTTGTCCCTCACATAGGATTCCAGAACACTGCTACGATAGTCTGAATGTTTGTCCCTAACATAGGATTCCAGAACACTGCTATGAGGATCTGAATATTTGTCTCTCACATAGGATTCCAAAACACTCTTGCTGTGTTCTGAGGGTTTGTCTCTCACATAGGATTCCAGAACACCGCTACGACAGTCTGAATGTTTGTCCCTCACATTGGATTTAAGAACACTGTTATGAAGTTCTGAATGTTTGTCCCTCACATAGGATTCCAGAACACTGCTACGATTATGTGAATGTTTGCTCCTCACATAGGATTCCAGAACACTGCTACGAGGGTCTGAATATTTGTCCTCCAAGTTGGATTCCAAAACACTCCTGCTGTTTTCTGAATGTGTGTCCCTCACATAGAATTCCAGAACAATCCTGCTGTGGTCTGAATGTTTGTCCCTAACATAGTGTTCCAGAACACTGCAGCTGGGTTCTGAGTGTTTGTCCCTCACATAGGATTCCAGAACACTGCTACGAGTGTCTGAATGTTTCTCTCTCACATAGGATTCCAGAACACTGCTGCTGGGGTTTAAATGATTGTCCATCACATAGGATTCCTGAACACTGCTACGAGTGTCTCAATGTTTGTTCCTCACCGGGGATTCCACAACACCCCTGCTGTGGTCTGAAAGTTTGTCCCTCACATTGAATTCCAGAAAACTGCAAGGAGGGTCTGAATGTTTGTCCCTCACACAGAATTCCAGAACACTACTACGAGGGTCTGATTGACTGTCCCTCACGTAGGATTCCAGAACACTGCTTCTGGGGTCTTAATGTTTGTCCCCCACATAGGACTCCAGAACACTGCTGCAGGAGTCTATGTGTATGTCTTTCACATCGGATTCCAGAACACTGAGGCCGGGTTCTGAGTGTTTCTCCCTCACATAGATTCCAGAACACTGCATCGAGGGTCTGAATGTATGTTTCTTTTTATGTTATATTATTTCGTTTATTATTATTATACTTGGAATTTATGTTTCTAACGTAGGATTCCAGAACACTTCCGCTGTTTTTTGAATGTTTTTCCCTCACATAAGATTCCAGAACACTGCTGCTGGGGACTGAATATTTGTCACTCACATTCCAGAACAGTTCTACGGTTGTCTGAATGTTTCTCCCTCACATAGGATTCCAGAACACTGCTACAAGGGTCTGAATGTTTGTCCCTCAGATAGGATTTCAGAACACTTCTACGATTGTCTGATTGTTGGTCCCTCACATCGGATTCCAGAACACTGCGACGAGGGTCTGAATATTTGTTCCTCACAGGGGATTCCAAAACACTCCTGCTGTGTTCTGTTTGTCCCTCACATAGGATTCCAGATCACTGCAACGAGGGTCTGAATGAATGTGCCTCATATAGTATTCCAGAACACTGCTGCTGGGGTCTGAATGTTTGTCCCTCACATAGGATTCCAGAACACTGCTGCTGCAGTCTACTCGTGTGTCCCTCACATTGGATGCCAGAACACTGCTGCTGGTTCTGAGTGTTTCTCCCACACATAGAATTCCAGAACACTGCAACGGGGGTCTGAATGTATGATCCTAACTTAGGATTCCAGACCACTCCCGCTCTTGTTTGAGTGTTTGTCTGTCACATGGGATTCCAGAACACTTCTGCTAGGGTCTGAATGTTTGTCCATAACATAGGACTCCAGAACACTCCCGCTGTTGTTTGAACGTTTGTCCCTCATATAGGATTCTAGAACACTGCTTCTAGGTTCTGAATGTTTGTCCCTCACGTAGGATTCCAGAACACTGCTACAATTGTCTGAACCTTTGTCCCTCATATAATATTCCAGAACACTTCTGTGAGGATCGAAATGTTTGTCACATATTATTACAGAACACCCCCACTCTGGTCTGAATGTTTCTCCCGCACATAGGATGACAGAATACTGCTGAGAGGGTCTGAATGATTGTCCCTCAAATAGGATTCCAGATCAATGCTGCTGGGGTCTAAAGGTTTGTCCGTCACATCGGATTCCAGGTTACTGCTACAGGGTTCTGAATGTTTATTCCTCACAGGGGATTCCAGATCACTACTTCTGTGTTCTGAAAGTTTGACCCTCACGTAGGATTCTGGAACACTGCCATGATTGTCTGAAAGTTTTTCCCTCACACAGAATTCCAGAACAATGCAACGAGGGGCTGAATGATTGTCTCTCATGTAGGATTTCAGAAGACTGCTGCTGGGGTCTGAATGTTTGTCCCTCACATACGAGTCCAGAACACTGCTGCTGAGGTCTGCATGTATGTCCATCGCATAGAATACCAGAACACTGCTGCGGAGTTCTGAGTCTTTCTCCGTCACATAGAATTCCGGAAAACTGCAATGATGGTCTGAATGTTTGTCCGTAACATAAGATTCCCGAACACTCCCGCTGTTGTTTGTTTGAATGTTTGTTCCTCACATAGGATTCCAGAACACTGCTGCTGGGTTCTGAATGTTTGTCCCTCACATAGGATTCCAGAACACTGCTACGATTGTCTGAATGTCTGTCCATCACATAGGATTCCAGAACACTGCTGCTGGGGTCTAAATCTTTGTCCGTCACATTGGATTCCAGAACACAGCTATGAGGGTCTGAATGTTTCTCCCTCACAGGCGATTCCAGAACACTCCTGCTGTGGTCTGAATGTTTGTCCCTCACATAGGTTTCCAGAGCACTAGTAGGAGTGTCTGATTTTTTGTCCTCCCATAGGATTCCAAAACACTGCTACGAGGTTCTGAATGTTTTTCCCTCACATAGGATTTCAGAACACTGCTGCGAGCATCTGAATTTTTGTTTCTCACATAGGACAAAAGAACACTGGTGCTGGGGTCTGAATGTTTGTTGCTCCCATAGGATTCCAGAACACTCCTGCTGTAGTCTGAATGTTTCTCATTAACAAAAGATTCCAGAACACTCCTGCTGGGATCTCAATATTTGTCCCTCACACAGGATTCAAGGACACTGCTGCTCTGGTCTGAAAGTTTGTCCCTCACATAGGATTCCAGTACACTGCTACGAGGGTCTGAATATTTGTCCCTCACATAGGATTCCAGAACACTGCTGCGATTGTTTGAATGTTTGTCTTTCACGTAGGATTTCAGAACACTGATACAAGAGTCTGAATGTTTGTCCCTCACATCGGATTCCAGAACACTCCTATGATTGTCTGAATGTTTGTCCCTTAGATAGGATTCCAGAACACTGCTACGAGGGTCTGAATGTTTTTCCCTCATATAGGATTCCAAAACACTCCTGCTGTGTTCTGAGTGTTTGTAGACACATCAGATCCAGAACACTACTGTTGTGATCTGAATGTTTCTGCATCACACCAGATTCCAGAACACGCTACGAGGTTCTGAATGACGGTCCCACACATAGGATTCCAGAACACCGCTGCTGGGGTCTAAATGTTTGTCCATCACACAGGATTCAAGAACAGTGCTACGAGGGTCTGAATGTTTCTTCCTCACTGGGGATTCCAGAATAGTCCTGCTGTGGTCTGAATGTTTGTCCCTCACACAGAATTCCAGAACACTGTTACGAGGGTCTGAATGATTGTCCTTCATATAGGATTCCAGAACTCTGCTGCTGGTGCCTGAATGTTTTTCCCTCACATAGGATTCCAGAACGCTGCTGCTGGGGTCTACATGTATGTCCGTCACATAGGAATCCAGAACACTGCTGCTGGGTTCTGTGTGTCTCTCCCTCACATAAATTCCAGAACACTGCGACGAGGGTATGCATGTTTGTCCGAAACGTAGGATGTCAGACGCTCTCGCTGTTTTTTGAATGTTTATCCCTCCCATAGGATTCCAGAACACTCTACGATTGTCTGAATGTCTGACCCTCACATAGGATTCCAGAACACTGCTGGGAGGCTCTGAATTTTTGTCCCTCCCATAGGATTACAGAACACTGCTACGATTGTCTGCATTTTTGTCCCTCACATAGGATTCCAGAACACTGCTACGACTGTCTGCATTTTTGTCCCTCACATAGGATTCCAGAACAATGCTAGGATGATCTGAATATTTGTCCCTCACATAGGATTCCAGAACACTGCTAGGATGATCTGAATATTTGTCCCTCACATAGGATTGCAGAACACTGCTATGAGTGTATGAATGTTTGCCTCTCACATAGGATTCCAGAACACGGCTTTGATTATCTAAATGTTAGTCCCTCACATAGGATTCCTGAACACTCCTGCTGTGGTCTGATAGTTTTTCCCTCACATAGGATTCCAGAACACTGCTACGAGGCTCTGAATGTTTGTCCCTCACATAGGATTCCAAAACACTCCTGCAGTGTTCGAAGTGTTTGTCCCCCACATAGGATTTCAGAACAATCTTGCTGTGGTCTCAGTGTTTGTCCCTCCATAGGATTCCAGAATACAGTTGCTGAGTTCTGAGGGTTTGTCCCTCACATAGGATTCCAGAACACTGCTACGAGGTTCTGAATGTTTGTCTCTCACATAGGATTCCAGAACACTGCTGCTGGGGTCTAAATGTTTGTCCATCACATCGGAATCCAGACCACTTTTATGAGGGTCTAAAAGTTTCTTCCTCACAGGAGATTCCAGAACACTTCTGCAGTGTTCTGAATGTTTGTACCTCACATAGGATTCCAGAACACTGCTGCTGCCATCTAAATGTTTGTCTGTCACATAGGATTCCAGAACACTGCTATGAGGTCTCAATGTTTGTCCCTCACGTAGTATTCCAGAACACTGCTACGAGGGTCTGAATGTTTGTACCTCACAGAGCATTCCAGAACACTGCTATGAGTTTCTGGATGTTTATCCCTCACACAGAATTCCACAATACTGCTACAAGGGTCTGAATGATTGTCCCTCTCATAGGATTCCAGAACACTGCTGCTGGGGTCTGAATGTTTGTACCTCACATAGGATTCCAGAACACTGCTGCTGGGTTCTGGATGTTTGTCCATCATATAGGATTCCACCACACTGCTGCTGGGGTGTAGATTTATGGGCGTCACCTAGATTCCAGAACACTGCTGCAGGTTTCTGAGTGTTTCTCCCTCACATAGAATTCTAGAACACTGCAACTAGGGTCTGAATGTTTGTCCTTAACATAGGATTTCAGAACACTCCCGCTGTTGGTTGAATGTTTCTCCCTCACATAGGATTCCAGAACACTGCTCCTGGGGTCTGAATGTTTGTCCCTCACATAGGATTCTGGAACACTGCTATGATTATCTTAATACATGTCCCTCACAAAGGATTCCAGAACATTCCTACGAGGGTCTGAATGTATGTCCCACACATAGGATTCCAGAACACTGCTGCTGGGGTCTGAATGTTTGTCCCTCACATAGAATACCAGAAAACTGCTACGATTGTCTGAATGTTTGTTCCTCACTGGGGATTCCAGAACACTGCTACTGGGTCTAAATGTTTATCCATCACTTAGGATTCCAGAACACTGCTACGAGGGTCGGAATGTTTGTTCCTCACGGTGGATTCCAGAACACTCCTGCTGTGGTCTGAATGTTTGTCCCTCACACAGGGCTCCAGAACACTTCTACAAGGGTCTGAATGTTTCTCACTCACACAGAATTCCAAAACACTGCAACGAGGGTCTGAATGATCATCCCTCACATAGGAGTCCAGAACAATGCTGCTGGGGTCTACATGTCTGACCGTCACATAGGATTCCAGAACAATGCTGCTGGGGTCTGCATGTCTGTCCGTCACATAGGATTCCAGAACAATGCTGGTGGGTTCTGAATGTTTCTCCCTCACATAGAATTCCAGAACACTCGGACGAGGGTCTGAATATTTGCCTGTAACATAGGATTCCAGAACACTCCCACTGTTGTATGAATGTTTGTCCCTCACATAGGATTCCAGAACGCAGCAGCTGAGGTCTGAATGTTTGTCCCTCACATAGGATTCCAGAATTCTGCTATGATTGTCTGAACGTTTTTCCCTCACATAAAACTCCAGAACACTGCTGCTGGGGTCTGAATGTTTGTCTGTCACATAGGATTCCAGAACACTTTTACTAGTGTCTGAATGTTTGTTCCTCACTGGGGATTCCAGAGCACTCTTCCTGTGGTCTGAATGGTTGTCCTTCACATAGGATTCCAGAACACTGCTACGACGTTCTGAATGCTTGTCCCTCACACAGAATTCCAGAACACTGTTACGAGGGTACGAATGACTGTGCCTCGCATAGAATTCCAGAACACTCCTGCTGAGGTCTAAATGTTTGTCCGTAACATAGGATTACAGAACAATCCTGCTGTGGTCTGAAATTTTGACCCTCACACAGGGTTCCAGAACACTGCTGCTCATTTCTGAGTGTTTGTCCCTCACATAGGATTCAAGAACACTGTGAAGACGGTGTGAATATTTGTCTGTAACATAGGATTATGGAACACTCCCGCTGTTGTTTGAATGTTTATCACTCACATAGGATTCCAGAACACTGCTGCTGGGGTCTGAATGTTTGTCCCTCACATAGGATTCCAGCACACTGCTATGATTATCTCAATGTTTGTCCCTCACATAGGATTCCAGAATACTCCTTTGAGGGTCTGAATGTTTGTCCCTCACATAGGATTCCAGAACACTGCTACGACGTTCTGAATGCTTGTCCCTCACACAGAATTCCAGAACACTGTTACGAGGGTACGAATGACTGTGCCTCGCATAGAATTCCAGAACACTCCTGCTGAGGTCTAAATGTTTGTCCGTAACATAGGATTACAGAACAATCCTGCTGTGGTCTGAAATTTTGACCCTCACACAGGGTTCCAGAACACTGCTGCTCATTTCTGAGTGTTTGTCCCTCACATAGGATTCAAGAACACTGTGAAGACGGTGTGAATATTTGTCTGTAACATAGGATTATGGAACACTCCCGCTGTTGTTTGAATGTTTATCACTCACATAGGATTCCAGAACACTGCTGCTGGGGTCTGAATGTTTGTCCCTCACATAGGATTCCAGCACACTGCTATGATTATCTCAATGTTTGTCCCTCACATAGGATTCCAGAATACTCCTTTGAGGGTCTGAATGTTTGTCCCTCACATAGGATTCCAGAACACTGCTACAAAACTCTGAATGCTTTTCCCTCACATAGGATTCCAGAACACTGCTAACTAGGGTTTGAATGTATGTCCCTCCCATAGGATTCCAGAACACTCCTGCTGTGGTCTGAATGCTTGTCCCTCACATACGATTCCAGAACACTACTACGAGGGTCTGAATTTTTGTCACTCACATAGGATTCCAAAACATTCCTGTTATTTTCTTAGTGTTTGTCCCTCACATATCATTCCAGAACAATCCCGCTGTGGTCTGAATGTTTGTCCCTCACATAGGATTCCACAAAACTGCTACAAGATTCTGAATGGTTTTCCTCACTGAGGATTCCAGAACACTGCTCCTGGGGTATAAATATTTGGCCGTCACATAGGATTCCAGAACACTACTACGAGGGTCTGTATGTTTGTTCCTCACAGGGGATTCCAGAACACTAATGCTGTGGTCTGAATGTTCGTTCCTAACACAGGATTCTGGTACACTGCTATGAGGGTCAGAATGTTTGTCCCTCACATTGGATTCCAGAACAATGCTACCAATGTCTGAATGTTTGTCCCTCACATAGAATTCCAGATCACTGCTATGAGGGTCTGAATGTTTGTCCCTCACATAGGATTCCAGAACACTCCTGCTATGGTCTGTATATTTGTCCCTCACATATGATTCCAGAACACTGCTACGAGAGTCTAAACGTTTGTCCCTCACACAGGATTTCAAAACCTTTCTGCTGGGTTCGGAGTGTTGGTCCCTCACATAGGTTTCCAGAACAATCCTGGCATGGTCTGAATGTTTATCCCTCACATAGGGTTCCAGAACACTGCTGCTGGTTTCAGTGTGTTTGTCGCTCATGTAGGATTCCAGAACACTGCTATGAGGGTCTGAATGTTTCTACCTCACATAGGATTCCAGAACACTGCTGCTGGGGTCTAAATGTTTGTCTGTCACATAGGATGATTTCACATAGGATTACAGAACACTGCTAAGAGGGTCTGAATGTTTGTTCCTCACAGATGATTCCAGAACACTCTTTCTGTTGTCTGAATGTTTGTTCCTCACAGATGATTCCAGAACACTCCTGCTGTTGTCTGAATGTTTGTCAATCACATAGGATTCCAGAACACTGCTATGAGGCTCTGAATGTTTGTTCCTCACACAGAATTCCAGAATACTGCTACCAGGGTCTGAATGATTATCCCTATTCTAGGATTCCAGAACACTGTTGCTAGGGTCTGAATGTTTGTCTGTCTCATAGGATTCCAGAATAATGCTGCTGGGGTCTACATGTGTGTCCATCCCATAGGATTCCAGAACAGTGCTGCTGGTTTCTAAATGTTTCTCCCTCACATAGAATTCCAGAACACTGCGACAAGGGTCTGATATTTGTCCATAACATAGGATTACAGAACACTCCCACAGTTGTTTGAATGTTTGTCCCTCACATAGGAATCCAGAACACTGCTAATGGGGACTGAATGTTTGTCCCTCACGCAGGATTCCAGAACAATGTTACGATTATATTAATATTTGTCCATAACATAGGATTACAGAACACTCCCGCAGTTGTTTGAATGTTTGTCCCTCTCAAAGGATTCCAGAACACTGCTACGCGGGTCTGAATGTTTGTCCGTAACATATGATTCAAGGACACTCCCGCTGTTGTTTGAATGTTTGTCCCTCACATAGGATTCCAGAACACTGCTGCTGTGGTCTAAATGTTGGTCCCTCACATAGGATTACAGAACACTGCCACGAGGGTCTGAATATTTGTTCCTCACAGGGGATTCGAGAACACTCCTGCTGTGGTCTGAATGTTTGTCAATCACATAGGATTCCAGAACACTCCTATGAGGCTCTGAATGTTTGTCCCTCACACAGAATTGCAGAACACTGCAGCCAGGATCTTAATGATTATCCCTACTCTAGGATTCCAGAACACTGCTGCTGGGGTCTGAATGTTTGTCCGTCTCACAGGATTCCAGAACAATGCTGCTGGGGTCTACATGTGTGTCCATCCCATAAGATTCCAGAACACTGCAGCTGGTTTCTAAGTGTTTCTCCCTCACATAGGATTCCAGAACACTGCGATGAGGGTCTGAATGTTTGTCCGTAACATAGGATTACAGAACACTCCCGCTGTTGTGGGAATGTTTGTCCCTCACATAGGAATCCAGAACACTGCTAATGGGGACTGAATGTTTGTCCCTCACACAGGATTCCAGTACAATGTTACGATTTTCTTAATATTTGTCCCTCACATAGGATTCCAGAACAAACCTGGAGGGTCTGAATGTTTGTCCCTCTCATAGGATTCCAGAACACTGCTACGAGGGTCTGAGTGTTTGTCCATAACATATGATTCAAGAGCACTCCCGCTGTTGTTTGAATGTTTGCCCCTCACATAGGATTCCAGAACACTGCTACGATTGTCTGAGTTTCTTCCTCACCTAGAATTCCAGACCACTGAGATGAGGGTCAGAATTTTTGTCCCTCAATAGGATTCCAGAATGCTGCTGCTAGGGTCTGAATGTTTGTCCCTCACTTAGGATTCCAGAACACTGCTGCTGGGGTCTACATTTATGTCCGAAACATAGGATTCCAGAACACTGCTGCTGGTTTCTGAGTGTTTCTCACTCACAAACAATTCCAGAACACTGCGACGAGGGTTTGAATGTTTGTCCGTAACATAGGATTCAAAAACACTCAAGTATTTATTTGAATGTTTGTCCCTCACATAGGATTCCAGAACACTGCTACGAGGGTGTGAATGTTTGTCCCTCACTTAGGATTCCAGAACACTCCTGCTGTGGACTGAATGTTTGTCCCTCAGAAAGAAAGCCAGAACAGTGCTACCAGGGTCTGAATATTTGTCCCTCACATAGGATTCAAGGACCCTGCTGCTGGGGCCTAAATGTTTGTCCTTCAAATAGGATTCCAGAACACTACTACGAGAGTCTGAATGTTTGTTCCTCACAGGGGATTCCAGAACACTTCTGCTGTGGTCTGAATGTTTGTCACTCACATGGGATTCCACATCACTGCTATGAATGTCTGAATGTTTGTCCCTCACAAAGAATTCCAGAACACTGCTACGAGGGTCTTTATGACTGTCCATCACATAGGATACCAGAACACTGCAGCTGGGGTCTGAATGTTTGTCCCTCACACAGGATTCCAGAACACTGCTGCTGGGGTCTGAATGTTTGTCTGTCACAAAGGATTCCAGAGCACTGCTGCTATGGTCTACATGTATGTCCTTCACATAGGATTCCAGAACACTGCTGCTGGGTTCTGAGTGTTTCTCCCTCACATAGAATTCCAGAACACTGCGACGAGGGTCTGAATGCTTGTCCGTGACATAAGATTCCAGAACACTCCCGAGGATGTTTGAATATTTTTCACTCATATAATATTCCAGAACACTGCTATGACGTTCTGAAATATTGTCCCTCACATGAGATTCTATAATACTGCTGCTGGGGTCTAAATGTTTGTCCGTCAGATAATATTCCAGACACTGCTAGGAGGTTCAAAATGTTTGTTCCTCACAGGGGATTCCAATACACTCTTGTTGTGGCCTGAATTTTTGTCCCTCACACAGGACTCCAGAACATTGCTACGAGTGTCTGAATGTTTGTCCCTCACATGGGATTCCAGAACACTGCTGCTGTGGTCTAAATGTGTGTCAGTCACATAGGATTACAGAACACACCTACGAGGGTCTGAATGTTTGTTCCCCACAAGGGATTCCAGAAGAGTCCTGCAGTGGTCAAAATGTTTGTCCCTGACACAGGATTCTGGAACACTGCTGAAAGTGTCTGAATGGTTGTCCCTCAAATAGGATTCCAGAACACTGCTGCTGGGGTCTGAAACTTTGTCACTAACATTGGATTCCAGAACACTGCTACGATTGTCTGAATGTTTGTCTCTCACATAGGATTCCAGAACACTCTTACGAGGGTCTGCATGTTTGTCCCTCACATGGGATTCCAGAACACTGCTACGATTGTCTGAATGTTTGTACCTCACATAGGATTCCAGAACACTGCTACGAGGTTTTGAAATTTTGTCCCACACACAGGATTGCAGAACACAGCTATGAGGGTCTAAAAGTTTGTTTCTCAAAGGGAATTCCAAAACAGTCCTGCTGTGGTCTGAATGTTTGTCCCTCACATAGGATTCCAGAACACTGCTATCAGGGTCTGAATGTTTATCCCTCACTCAGGATTCCAGAACACTGTTGTGAAGGTCAGATTGTTTATCCCTCACATAGTATTCTAAAACACTCCTGCTATGTTTTGAGTGTTTGTCACTCACATAGGATTCCAGAACACTGCTGCTGGGTTCTAAATATTTGTCCATCAGATAAGATTCCAGTACACTGCTATGAGGGTCGGAATGTTTGTTCCTCACAGGGGATTCCAGAACACTCTTGCTGTGGTCGGAATGTTTTTCCCTCACACAGGATTGCAGAACACTGTTACGACGGTCTGAATGTTTGCCCCTCACACAGAATTCCAAAACACGGCTATGATGGTCTGAATGATTGTCCCTCACATGGGATTCCAGAACACTGCTGCTGGAGTCTGAATGTTTGTCCCTCACATAGGATTCCAGAACACTGCCGCTGGGTTCCGAGTTTTTGTCCCTCACAGGGAATTCCAGAACACTGCCGCTGGGTTCCGAGTTTTTGTCCCTCACAGGGAATTCCAGAACACTGCAACGATGGTCTCAATGTTTGTCTGTAACATAGGGTTCCAGAACAATCTCTCTGTTTTTTGAATGTTTGTCCCTCACATAGGATTCCAGAACCCTGCTACGATTGTCTGAATGTTTGTCCGTAACATAGGGTTCCAGAACACTCTCTCTGTTTTTTGAATGTTTGTCCCTCACATAGGATTCCAGAACCCTGCTACAATTGTCTGAATGTTTGTCCCTCACATAGGATCCCAGAACACTGCCACGATTGTCTCAATGCTTGTCCCTCACGTAGGATTCCAGAACACTGCTACGACAGTCTAAATGTTTGTCCCTCACATAGGATTCCTGAACACTGCTATGATTGAATGTTTGCCCCCACATAGGATTCCAGAATACTGCTACGAGGGTCTGAAAGTTTGTCTCTCATATAGGATTCCAGAACACTGCTAAGATTTTTTGAATGCTTGTCACTCACGTGGGATTCCAGAACACTCGCGCTGGGGTCTGAATGTTTATCCCTCACACAAAATTCCAGAACACTGCCACGAGGGTCGGAATGATTGTCCCTCACATAGGGTTCCAGAACACTGCTGCTGGAGTCTACAAGTAGGTCTGTCACATAGGGTTCCAGAACACTGCTACAGGAATCGGAGTGTTTCTCCCTCACATAGAATTCAAGAACACTGCGAGGAGGGTCTGAATGTTTTTCCTTGTCATAGGATTCCAGAACACACCTGCAGTTGTTTGAATGTTTTTCCCTCACATAGGATTCCAGAACACACCTGCAGTTGTTTGAATGTTTTTCCCTCACATAGGATTCCAGAATACTGCTGCTGTGGTCTGAATGTTTGTCCCTCACACAGAATTCCAGAACACTGCTACGACGTTCTGAATGATTTACCCTCACATACGATTCCCGAAGACTGTTCCTGGGGTCTGAATGTTTGTCCCTCACATAGGCCTTCAGAACACTGCTGCTGGGTTCTACATGTATGTCCGTCACATAGGATTCCAGAACACTGCTAAGAGGATCCGAATGTTTGTCCCTCACATACGATTCCAAAACACTCCTGCTATGTTCTGAGTGTTTGTCCCTCACATAGTATTCCAGAACAATCCTGCTGTGGTGTGAATGTTTGTCCCTCACATAGGGTTCCAGAACACTGTTGCTGGGTTTTGAGTGTTTCTCCCTCACATAGGAATCCAGAACACTGCTACAAGGGTCTGAATGCTTGTCCCTCACATGGGATTCCAGAACACTGCAGTTGCAGTTGGGGTCTTAATGTTTGTCCGTTACATAGGATTCCAGAACACTGCTAAGAGGATCCGAATGTTTGTCCCTCATATAGGATTCCAGAACACCGCAACTAGGTTCTGAATGATTTACCCTCACATAGGATTCCAGATCACTGCTAAGAGGATCCGAATGTTTGTCCCTCATAGGATTCCAGAACACTGCTACTAGGATCTGAATATTTGTTACTCACAGGGGATTGCAGAACACTCCAGCTGTGGTCTGAATGTTTGTCCCTCAAATAGGATTCCAGAACACTGCTATGAGTGTCTGAATGTTTTTCCATCACACAGAATTACAGGACACTGCTGTTACCGTCTACATGTATGTCTGTCACATAGGATTTAAGAACATTGCTGCCGGTTTCTGAGTGTTTCACCCTCACATAGAATTCCAGGTCACTGAGACGAATTTCTGAATGTATGTCCGTAACTTAGGATTCCAGAACACTCACTCTGTTGTTGGAATGTTTGTCCCTCACATACGATTCCAGAACACTGCTGTTGTAGTCTGAATGTTTCTCCCTCACATAGGATTCGAGAACACAGCTACGATTGTCTCAATGTTTGTCCCTCACATAGGATTCCAGAAAAATGCTACAAGGGTCTGAATATTTGTCACTTACATAGGATTCCAGAACACTGCTACAAGTGTCTGTATGTTTGCCCCTCACATAGGATTCCAGAACACTGCTACGATTGTCTGAATGATTGTCCCTCCCATAGGATTCCAGAACACTCCTGCTGGGGTCTGAATGATTTTCCCTCACATAGGATTCCAGAATACTGCTGCTGGGTTCTCACTGTTTCTACCTCACATAGAATTCCAGAGCACTGAGACGAGGTTCTGAATATTTGTCCATAACCAGGGATTGCAGAACACTCCCGATCTTGGTTCAATGTTTCTCCCTCACATAGGATTACAAAACACTGCTGCTGGGGTCTGAATTTATTTCCCTTTCTTGAGATTCCAGAACATGGCTACGATTTTCTGAATGTTTGTCCCTCACATAGGATTCCAGAACACTGCTATGAGGGTCTGAATGTTTCTCCCTCATATTGGATTCCAAAACACTCCCGCTGTGTTTGAGTGTTTGTCCCTCACGTAGGATTCCAGAACAATCCTGCTGTGGCCTGAATGTTTGTCCCTCACATAGGGTTCCAGGACACTGTTGCTGGGTTCTGAGTTCTTTTCCCTCACACAGGATTCCTGTACACTGCAACGAGTGTCTGAATGTTTGTCTCTCACAGGATTACAGAACACTGCTTCTGAGGTCTAAATGTTTGTCCATCACATAGGATTCCAGAACACTGCTATGAGGTTCTGAATGTTTGTTCCTCACAGTGGATTCCAGAAGACTCTTGCTGTGGTCTGAATGTTTGTCCCTCACAAAGGATTCCAGAACACTGCTCTGATGGTCTGAATCTTTGTCCTTCACACAGAATTCGAGAACACTGCTACGACGGTCTGAATGCTTGTCCCTCACATAGGGTTCTAGAACACTGCTGCTGTGGTCTGAATGTATGTCCCTCATGTAGGATTCGAGAACACTGCTGCTGGGTTCTGATTGTTTCTCCCTCAAATAGAATTCCAGAGCACTGCGGAGAGGATCTGAATTTTTGTCCATAACTTAGGATTCCAGAACACAGCCTCTGTAGTTTGAATGTTTGTCCCTCATATAGGATTCCAGAACACTGCTGATGGGGTCTGAAAGTTAGTCCCTCACATAAGATTCCAAAACACTGCTACGATTGTCTGAATGTTTTCCCTCACATAGGATTCCAGGGCACTCCTGCCGTGTTATGAATGTTTGTCCCTCACATAGTATTCCAGAACACTGCTGCTCGGGTCTACATGTATGTCCGTCACATAGGATTCCAGTACACTGTTGCTGGGTTCTGAGTGTTTCTCCCTCACATAGAATTCCAGAACACTGTGACGAGGGTCTGAATGTTTGTCCATAACATAGGATTCCAGAACACTCCCACTGTTGTATCAATGTTTATAGCTCACATAGGATTCTGGAACACTGCTGCTGGGGTCTGAATGTTTGTCCCTCGCAAAGAATTCCCGTACACTGCTAAGATTGTATGAATGTTTGTCTCCCACATAGGATTCCAGAACACTGCTACGAGTGTCTGAAAGTTTTTCCCTCACATAGGATTCCAAAACACTCCTGCTATGTTCTGAGTGTCCCTCACATAGGACTCCAGCATAATCCTGCTGTGGCCTGAATGATTGACCCTCACATAGGGTTCCAAAACACTGCTGTTGGGTTCTGAGTGTTTGTCTCTCACATAGGATTCCAGAACACTACTACCAGGGTCTGAATGTTTGTTCCTCACACAGTATTCCAGAAAACTGCTTCTGGGGACTTAATGTTTGTCCGTCACATAGGATTCCAGAACACTGATATGAGGCTCTGAATGTTTGTTCCTCACCGGGGATTCCAGAACACTGCTATGAGGGTCTGAATGTTTGTCCCACACAGAGAATTCCAGAACACTGCTATGAGGGTCTGAATGACTATCCTTCACATAGGATTCCAGAATACTACGGCTGCTGTCTGAATATTTGTCCCTCACATAGGATTCCAGAACACTGCTGCTGGGGTCTACATGTATGTCTGTCACATAGGGTTCCAGAACACTGCTGCTGGGTTCAGAGTGTTTCTCCCTCAGTTAGAATTCCAGAACACTGCGACGAGGATCTGAATGTTTCTCTGTAACAGAGGATTCCAGAACACTCTTGCTGTTGTTTGAATGTTTGTCCCCCACATAGGATTCGAAAACACTGCTGCTGGGGTCTGTATGTTTGTCCGTCACATAGGTTCCTGAACACTACTACGATTGTTTCAATGTTTGTCCCTCATATAGGATTATAGAACACTGCACTGAGTGTCTGAATGTTTGTCCCTCACTTGAGGTTCCAGAGCACTGCTGCTGGGCTCTAAATGTTGGTCCGTCACATAGGATTCCAGAACTATGCTACGAGGGTCCGGATATTTGTTCCTCCCATTGGATTCCAGAACAATCCTGCTCTAGTCCGAATGTTTGTCCTTCATATAGGCTTCCAGAACGCTGCTATGGGGGTCTGAAGCTTCCTCCCTCACAAACATCTCCAGAACACTGCTACAAGGGTCTGAATGATTGACCCTCACAGAGGATTCCAGAACACTGCTTTTGAGATCTGAATGTTTGTCTTCACATATGATTCAAGAACACTGCTGCTGGCGTCTACATGTATGTCCATCACATAGGATTCCAGAACACTCCTGTTGGTTTCTGAGTGTTTCTCTCTAACACAGAATTCCAGAACACTGCGACGAGGTTCTGAAAGTCTGTCTGTTACATAGGATTCGACAACACTCCCGCTGTTGTTTGAATGTTTGTTCCTCACATAGGATTCCAGAACGCTGCTGGGGTCTGAATATTTGTCCCTCACATAGGATTCCAGAACATGGCTAAGATTATCTGAATGTTTGTCCCTCACATGTGATTCGAGAACAAAGCTACGAGTGTCTGAATGTTTTTTCCTCACGTAGGATTCAAGAGCACTGCTGCTGGGGTCTAAAGGTTCGTCCCTCACATAGGATTCCAGAACACTGCTACGAGGGTCTGAATGTTTTTTCCTCACAGAGGATTCCAGAACAATCCTCCTGTGGTCTGAATGTTTGTCCCTCACGTAGGATTCCAGAACACGGCTTTGAGGATCTCAATATATGGCTCTTACACAGAATTCCACAATGCAGCTACGAACGTCTGAATGAATGTCCCTCACATAGGATTCCGGAACACTGCTACGGTTGTCTGAATGTTTGTCCCTCACTTAGGATTCCAGAACACTGCTACGAAGGTCTGAATATTAGTCCCTCACATAGGATTCCAGAGCAATCCTGCTGTGGTCTGAATGTTTCTCACTCACATAGTGTTCCAGAATGCTGTCGCTGGGTTCTAAATGTCTGTCCCTCACAAAGGATTCCATAACACTGCTACAAGGGTCTGAATGATTGTCCCGCAATTAGGATTCCAGAACACTGCTGCTGGCGTCTAAATGTTTGTCCGTCACACAGGATTCCAGAACAGTGCTAGGAGGATCTGAATGTTTGTTCCTCACAGGTGATTCCAGAACACTCCTGCTGTGGGTCTGAATGTTTTTCTCTCACACATGATTGCAGAACAGTGGTAAGAGAGTCTGAAAGTTTGTACCTCACACAGAATACCAGAACACTGCTACGAGGTCCTGAATCATTGTCCTCACATAGGATTCCAGAACACTGCTCCTGGGGTCTGAATGTTTCTCCCTCACATGAGATTCGAGGACACTGCTGCTGGGGTCTACATGTATGTCCGTCAGATAGGATTCCAGAGCACTCCTGCTGGGTTCTGAGTGTTTCTCCCTCACATAGAATTCCAAACACTGCGAGGAAGGTCTGAATGTTTGTCCGTCACATAGGATTCGTGAACACTCACACTGTTGTTTGAATGTTTGTCTCACACATAGGATTCCAGAACACTGCTCCTGGTGTCTGAATCACATAGGATTCCAGAATAATCCTATGAGGGTCTGAATATATGTTCCTCATATAGGATTCCAGAATAACCCTACGAGGGTCTGAATATGTTTTTCCTCACATAGGATTCCAGAACACTGCTGCTGGTGTCTAAATGTTTGTCTACTTGTTAGGATTCCAGAACACTCTCGCTGTTGTTTGAATGTTTGTCCTTCACATAGGATTCCAGCACACTGCTGCTGGGATCTCAATGTTTGTCCCTCACATAGGATTCCAGAACACTGCTACGATATTCTGAAAGTTTGTTCCTCACAGAGGATTCCACAACACTGCTGCTGTGGTCTGAAAGTTTGTCTCTTGCATTGGATTCCAGAACACTGCTATGAGTGTCTGAATGTTTGTCTGACACATAGGATTCCAAAACACTCCTGCTCTGTTCTGAGTGTTTGTCCCTCACATAGGACTCCAGTATAATCCTGCTGTGGTCTGAATCTTTGTCCCTCACATAGCGTTCCAGAACAGTGCTGCTGGGTTCTGAGTGTTTGTTCCTACATAGGACTCCGGAACACTGCTTCTAGCGTCTGAATGTTTTTTGCTCACACGGGATTCCAGAACACTGCTGATGGGGTCTAAATGTTTGTCCATCACATAGGATTCCAGAACACTGCTACGAGGGTATGAATGTTTTTCCTCACAGGGGATTCCAGAACACGCCTACTGTTGTCTGAATGTTTCTCCCTCACATAGCTTTCCAGAACACTGCTATGAGTGTCTGAATGTTTGTCTCTCACACAAAATTCCAGAACACTCTTACGAGGGTCTGAATGATTGTCCCTGACTTGGGATTCCACAATAATGCTGTTGCGGTCTGAATGCTTGTCCCTCACATAGGATTCCCGAACACAGCTGCTGAGGTCTACATGTGTGTCTGTCATAGAGGATTCCAGAACACTGCTTCTGGGTTCAGAGTGTTTCTGCCTCACACAGAATTCCAGAAAACTGCGACGAGGTTCTGAATGTTTGTCCCTCACATGGGATTCCAGAATAACTCTACTAAGGTCTGAATGTTTGTGCCTCTCATAGGATTCCACAACACTGCTGCTGGTTTCTAAATGTTTGTCCATTACCTAGGATTGCAGAACACTCTCGCTGTTGTATGAATGTTTGTCTCTCACATAGGATTCCAGAACATTGGTGCTGAGTTCTGAATGTTTGTCTCTCACATAAGATTCCAGAACATTGGTGCTGAGTTCTGAATGTTTGTCTCTCACATAAGATTCCAGACCACTGCTGTGATTTTCTGAAAGTTTGTCCCTCACATAGGATTCCGCAGCACTGCAAAGAGGGTCTGAATGTTTTGTCCCTCACATAGGATTCCAATACTCTCCCGCTGTTTTCTGTTTTTCCCACACATGGGATCCCAAAGCAATCCTGCTGTGGTCTGAATGTTTGTCCCTCACATCGGGTTCCAGAACACTGGTGCTGGTTTCTGAGTGTTTGCCCCTCAGATAGGATTCCAGAACTCTGCTACGAAAGTCTGAATGTTTGTCCCTCACACAGGATTCCAGAACACTTTTGCTGGGGTCTAAATGTTTGTCCCTCACATAGGATTCCAGAACACTGCTGCTAGGGTCTGAATGTTTTTTCCATACAGGGGATTCCAGAATACTCCTGCTGTGTTCGGAATGACTATCCCTCACACAGGATTCCAGTACACTGCCACGATGGTCTGAATGTTTGCCCCTCACGCAGAATTCCAGAACACTACTACGAGAGTCTGAATGATGGTCCCTCACAGAGGATTCCAGAACACTGCTGCTGGAGTCTGAATGTTTGTCCGTCACATAGGATTCCGGAACACCGCTGCTGGGGTCTATGTGTATGTCCGTCACACAGGATTCCAGAACACAGCTGCTGGGTTCTGTGTGTTTCCCCCTCACTTGAATTCCAGAGCACTGTGACAAGGGTCTGAATGTTTGTCAATAACATACTATTTCAGAACACTCCCGCTGTTGTTTGAATGTTTTTCCCTCACATAGGATTCCAGAACACTGCTACTGGGGTCTGAATGTTTTTCCCTAGCATAGGATTCCAGAACACTGCTACGATTGTCTGAATGTTTGTCCCTCACTTAGGATTCCAGAACACTGCTACGAGTGCCTGAATGTTTCTCCATCACATAGCATTCCAAAACAATCCTGCTGTGTTCTCAGTGTTTGTCCCTCACATATGGTTCCAGAACACGGCTGCTGGGTTCTGAGTGTTTGTCCCTTTATAGGATTCTAGAACACTGCTCCGAGGGTGTGAATGTTTGTCCCTCACACAGGATTCCAGAACACTGCTGCTGGGGTCTAAATGTTTGTCTGTCATATAGGATTCCAGAACACTGCTACGAGGGTCTGAATGTTTCTTCCTCACAGAGGATTCCAGAACATGCCTGCTGTGGTCTGAATGTTTGTCCCTCACATAGGTTTCCAGAACACTGCTATGAGGGTCTGAATGTTTGTCCATCACACGGAATTCCAGAACACAGCTACGAGGGTCTGAGTGATTGTCCCTCACACAGGATTCCAGAACACTGCTGCTGCCGTCTGAAAGTTTGTCCCTCACATAGGATCCCAGAGCACTGCTACTGATGTCTGCATGTATGTCTGTCGCTAAGGATTCCAGAACACTGCTGGTGGGTTCTGAGTGTTTCTCCCTCACATGTAATTCAAGAAGACTGCGACGAGGATCTGAATGTTTGCCCGTAACAAAGGATTCCAGAACATTCCCGCTGTGATTTTAATGTTCGTCCCTCACATAGGATTCCAGAACAATGCTGCTGGGGTCTAAATATTTGTCCGTCACAAAGGATTCTAGAACACTGCTATGATTGTCTCAATGTTTTTCTCTCACATAAGATTCTAGAACACTATACTGAGGGTCCTAATGTTTGTCCTTCCCACAGGATTCCAGAACACTGCTCCTGTTGTCTAAATATTTGTCCTTTACCTAGGATTGCAAAACACTCCCTCTGTTGTTTGAATGTTTGTCCCTCACATTGGATTCCAGAACACTGCTGCTGGGTTCTGAATGTTTGTCCCTCACCTAGGATACCAGACCACTGCAACGATTTTCTGAAAGTTTGTCCCTCACATAGGATTCCAGAACATTGCTGCTGCAGTCCAAATGTTTGTCCGTCACATAGGATTCCAGAACATTGCTGCGAGGGTCTGAATGTTTGTTCCTCACATAGGATTTGAGAACACTTAGTGTTCCAGAACACTCCTGCTGTGGTCTGAATGTTTGTCCCACAGATAGGCTTCCATAACACTGCTATGAAGTAATTAAGGTTTCTCCATCACACAGAATTCCGGAACACTGCTACGTGGGTCTGAACGATTGTCCCTTATGCAGAACTCCAGAACACAGCTATGAGAGTCTGAATGATTGTCCCTCAAATAGGATTAAAGAACACTGCTGCTGGGGTCTGAATGTTTGTCCCACACATCGGATTCCAGAACACTGCTGCTGTATTCTCAGTGTTTTTCCCTCACATAGAATACCAGAACACTGCTACGATGGTCTGAATGTTTGTCCGTAACATAGGATTCCAGAACAATCCCGCTGTTGTTTGAATGTTTGAACCCCACATAGGATTCCAGAACAATGCTGCTGGGGTCTGAATGTTTGTCCCTCACATAAGACTCCAGAACAATGCTACCATTGTCTGAATGTTTGTCCCTCACATAGGATTCCTGAACAGTGCTACTAGGGTCTGAATGTTTGTCCCTCAGATAGGATTCCAAAACACTACTGATGTGTTCTGGGTGATTGTCCCCCACATAGGGTTCCAGAACAACCCTGCTGTCGTCTGAATATCTGTCCCTCAAATAGGGTTACAGAACACTGCTAGGAGGGTCTGAATGTTTGTTCCTCACAGGGGATTCCAGAACTCTCCTGCCATCATCTGAATAATAGTACCTCACACAGGATTGCAGAACACTGCTACGAGGGTCTGAATGTTTGCCCCTCACACAAAATTCCAGAACACTGCTTCGAGGGTCTGAATGATGGTGCCTCACATAGGATTCCAGAACACTGCTGCTGGGTTCTGAATGTTTGTCCCTCACAAAGGATTGCAGGACAATGCTGCTGGGGACTGAATGTTTGCCCCAATATAGGATTCCACAACTCTACTGCTCTGGTCTAAATGTATGTCCGTCACATCAGATTCCAGAACAATACTGCTGGTTTCTCAGTGTTTCTCCATCACATAGAATTCCAGATCACCGCGAGGAGTCTCTGAATGTTTGTCCATAACATTGGATTCCAGAACACTGCTGCTGGGTTCCGAATGTTTGTCCCTCACCGAGGATTCCAGAACACTGCTACGATTGTCTGAATGTTTGTCTCTCATATAAGATTCCAGACCACTCCTAAGAGGGTCTGAATGTGTGTCCCTCACATAGATTTCCAGGACACTACTACTATTGTCTGAATATTTGTCCCACACTTAGGATTCCAGAACACTGCTACGAGGGTCTGAATGATTGTATCTCATACAGAATTCCAGAACACTGCTACGAGGATCTGAATGATTGTCCCTCACATAGGATTCGAGAACACTGTGACGAGGTGCTGAATGTTTGTCTCTCACATAGGATCCCAGAACACTGCTGCTGGGGTCTATATGTGTGTCCGTCACATAGGATTCCAAAACCCTGCTACTGTGTTCTGGCTGTTTCTCCCTGACATAGAATTCCAGAACACTGCGACGAGGTTCTGAATGTTTGTCCGTAACATAGGATTCCAGAAAACTCCCCCCCCGTGATTTATATGTTTGTCCCTCACATTGGATTCCAGAACACTGCTGCTGGGTTCCGAATGTTTGTCCTTCACGGAGGACTCCAGAACACTGCTACAATTGTCTGAATGTTTGTCCCTCACATAAGATTCCAGAACACTGCTGCTGTGGTCTGCATGTATGTTCATCACATAGGATTCCAGAAAACTGCTGCTGGGCTCTGAATGTTTCTCTCTCAAATAGAATTCCAGAACACTGCCACAAGGTTCTGAATGTGTGTCCATAACATAGGATTCCAGAACACTTCCACTGTTGTTCGAAGGTTTGTCGATCACATAGGATTCCAGAACACTGCTACAATTGTCTGCATGTTTGTCCCTCACATAGGATTCCAGGACACTACTACGAGGGTCTCAAAGTTTGTCCCTCACATAGGATTCCACAACACTCCTGCTGTGTTCTGAGTGTTTGCTCCTCACATAGGATTCCAGAACAATCCTTCTGTGTTCTGAATATTTGTCTCTCTCTTAGGATTCCAGAACACTGCTTCGATTGTCTGAATGTTTGTCCCTCCCACAGGATTCCAATACACTGCTATGATGGTCTGTATGTTTTTCCCTCACGTAGGATTCCAGAACACTGCTGCTGGGGTCTAAATGTTTGTTCATCACATAGGATTCCAGAACACAGCTATGAGAGTGGAAATGCTTGTACCTCACATGAGATTCCAGAACACTCCTGCTGTGGTCTTAAAGCAAGTCCCTCACATAGATTCCAGAACATTCCTACAAGGGTCTGAATGTTTGTCACTAACATAGGATTTCAGAACACCGCTGCTGGGGTCTAAATGTTTGTCCGTCACATAGAATTCCAGAACACTGCTATGAAGGTCTGAACGTTTGTTCCTCACTGGGGATTCCAGAACAATCCTGCTGTGGTCTGAATGTTTGTCCTTCACACAGGATTCCAGAACACTGCTACGAGCATACGAATGATTGTCTGCAACATAGTATTCCAAAACACTGTTACGAGTGTCTGAATGTTTGTCCCTCACATAGTATTCCAGAACACTGCTAAGATTGTCTGAATGTTTGTCACTCACGTAGGATTCCAGAACCCTGCTATGAGTGTCAGAATGTTTGTCCCTCACATAGGATTCCAAAACACGCCTGCTGTGCTCTGAGTGTCAGTCCTTCATGTAGGATTCCAGAACAATCCTGCTGTGTTCTGAATGGTTGCCCCTCACATATAGTTACAGAACACTGCTGCTCGGTTCTGAGTGTTTGTCCATCACATGGGATTCCAGAACACAGCTGTGAGGGTCTGATTGTTTTTCCCTTACAAAGGATTGCAGAACACTGCTGCTGGAGTCTAAAAGTTTCTCCGTCACACACTATTCCAGAGCACTCCTATGAGGGTTTGAATGTTTGTCCCTCATTTAGGATTCCACAACACTTCTGCTGGGGTGTGAATGTTTGTCCCTCACACAAAATTGTAGAACACTGCTATGACGATCTGAAAGATTGTCCCTCATTTAGGATTCCAGAACACTCCTGCTGTTTTCTGAGTGTTTGTCCCTCATTTAGGATTCCAGAACACTCCTGCTGTTTTCTGAGTGTTTGTCCCTCACATAGGATTCCAAAACTATCCTCCTGTCGTCGGAATATTTATCTCTCACATAGGGTTTCAGAACACTGCTGCAGGGTTCTGAGTGTTTGTCCCTCACATAGGATTCCAGAACACTGCTGCTGGGGTCTAGATTTTTGTCCGTCACACCGGATTCCAGAACCCTCCTATGAGGGTCTGAATGTCTGTTCCTCACAGGGGATTCTGGAACACTCCTGCTGTGGTCTCAATGTTTTTCCCTCACACAGGACTACAGAACACTGCTACGGGCATCAGAATGTTTGTCCCTCACACAGAATTCCAGAACACTGGTACGAGTGTCTGAATGACTTTCCTTCACATAGGATTCCAGAACACTGTTGCTGGGGTCGTAATGTTTGTCTCTCACATAGGATTCTAGAATAGAGCTGCTGGGGTCTACAGGTATGTCCGTCGCATAGGATTCCAGAACACTGATGTTGGGTTCTGAGTGTTTCTCCCTCACATAGAATTCCAGAACACCGCTACGAGGGTCAGAATGTTTGTCCATAACATAGGATTCCTGAACAATCCCGCTGTTGTTTGAATGTTTGTCCCTCACATAGGATTCCGGAACACTGCTACAATTGTCTGAATGTTTGTCCCTCACATAATATTCCAGAACAATGCTACGACTGTCTGAACGTTTGTTCCTCACAGGGGATTACAGAACACTGCTACGATTGTCTGAATGCTTGTCCCTCACATAGGATTCCAGAACAATGCTATGATTGTCTGAATGTTTGTCCATCACATACCATTCCAGAACACTGCTATGAAGGTCTGAATGTTTGTCCCTCACATGGGATTCCAGAACACTGCTACGATTGTCTGAATGCTTGTCCCTCACATAGGATTCCAGAACAATCCTGCTGTTGTCTGAATGTTTGTCCCTCACGTTGGATTCCAGAACACTGCTACCAGTGTCTGAATGTTTGTCCCTCACACGGGATTCCAGAACACTGCAATGACAGCTTGAATACTTGTCCCTCACACAGAATTCCAGAGCACTGCTATGGGGTTCTGAATGATTCTCCAACACATAGGATTACAGAACACTGTTGTTGGGGTCTGAATGTTTGTCCCTCACACAGGATTCCAGAACACTGCTATGAGGGTCGGAATGATTTTCCCTCACAGAGGATTTGAGAACACTCCTGCTGTGTTCTGAATGTTTGTCCCTCACATAGGATTTCAGAAAATTGCTATGAGGTTCTGAATGTTTTACCCTCACACAGAATTCCAGAACACTGCTACGAGAGTCTGAATGATTGTCCCTCACATAAGATTCCATAACACTGCTGCAGGCTTCTGAATGTTTGTCCCTCACATAGGATTCCAGAACCCCCCTGCAGGGGTCTGCATGTATGTCCGTCGCATAGGTTTCCAGAACACTGCTGCTGTGTTCTGAATGTTTCTACCTCACATAGAATTCCAGAACACTGCCACGATGGTCTGAATATTTGTCCGTAACACAGGATTTCAGAACACTCCCGCTGTTATTTGAATGTTTATCCCTCACATTAGATTCCAGAACACTGCTTCGAGGATCTGAATGTTTGTCCCTCACATAGGATTCCAGAACACTGCTACGAGGGTCTCAATGTTTTTCCTTCACATAGGATTCCAACACACTCCTGCTGTGTTCTGAGTGTTTGTCCCTCTCATAGGATTCGAAGGCAATCTTTCTGTGGTATGAATGTTTTTCCCTCACATAGGGTTCCAGAACAATGCTGCTGGGTTCGGAGTGTTTGTCTCTCACTTAGGATTCCAGAACACTGCTACCAGTGTCTGAATGCTTGTCCCTCACATAGGATTCCGGAACATTTCTGCTGGGTTCTGAATGTTTGTCCCTCTCAAAGGATTCCAGAACTCTGGTACAAGTTTCTGAATGTCTGTCTCTCATATGTGATTCCATAACACTGCTTCAGTTGTCTAAATGTTTGTCCGTCATATAGGTTTCCAGAACACTGCTAGGAGGATCTGAGTGTTTATTTCTCACAGGGAATTCCAGAAGACTCCTGCTGTTGTCTGAATGATTGTCTCTTACACAGGATTCCAGAAGACTGCAACGAGGGTCTGAATGTTTGAGCCTCATGTAGGATTCCAGAACAATGGTGCTGAGGTCTGAATCTTTGTCCCTGACATAGTGATTAAGAAAACTGCTAAGAGGGTCTGAATGTTTATCCCTCATGTAGGATTCCAGAACTCTGCTCCTGGGGTCTGAAAGTTTGTCTCTCACATAGGATTCCAGGACACTGCTGCTGGGGTGTACGTGTATCTCCGTCATATAGGATTCCAGAACACTGCTGCTGGATTCTGAGTGTTTCTCCATCACATAGAATTCCAGAACACTGCCACGAGGGTCTGAGTGTTTGTCCATAACTTAGGATTCCAGAACACTCTCGCTGTTGTTTGAATGTTTGTCCCTCACATAGGATTCCAGAACACTGCTGCTGTGGTCTGAATGTTTGCCCCTCACATAGGATTCCAGAACACTGCTACTATTGTCTGAATGTTTGTCTCCTACATAGGATTCCAGAACAATGCTGCTGGATTCTATATGTTTGTTCGTCACATAGGATTGCAGAACACCCCTACGACAGTCTGAATGTTTGTCCCTCACAGGGGATTCCAGAACACTCCTGCTGTAGTCTGAGTGTTTGTCCCTCACATGGGTTTTCCAGAACACTCCTGCTGAGGTCTGAATGATTGTCCCTCACATAAGATTCCAGAAAACTGCTAAGAGGGTCTGAATGTCCCTCACATAGGATTTCAGAACACTGCTGCTGTGGTCTAAATCTTTGTCCGTCACATAGGATTCCAGAACACTGCCACGAGGGTCTGAATGTTTTTCCCACAGAGGGGATTCCAGAACGGTGTGGTCTGAATGTTTGTCCCTCATACAGGGTTCCCGAACACCGCTACGAGGGAATGAATGCTTGTCCCTCACAAAGGATTCCAGAAAACTGCTACGATTGTCTGAGTGTTTGCCCCTCACATAGGATTCCGGAACACAGCTATGAGGGTTTGATTGTTTGGCCCTCATGTAGGATTCCAAAACACACTTACGGTTTTCAGAGTGTTTCTCCCTCACATAGGATTGCAGAACAATCCTGCCGTGTTCTTAATGTTTGTCCCTCATACAGAGTTCCAGAACACTGCTGCTCGGTTCTGAATGTTTGTCCCTCACATAAGATTCCAGAACACCGCTGCTGGTGTCTACATGTATGTCCCCCCCACAGGATTCCAGAACACAGCTGATAGGTTCTACTTGTTTCTCCCTCACATAGAATTCCAGAACACTGCAACGAGGGTCTGAATGTTGGTCCGTAACATAGGATTCCAGAAGATTCCCTCTGTTGTTTGAATGTTTGTCCCTCAAATAGGATTGCAGAACACTTCTGCTGTGGTCTAAAAATTTGTACCTCACAGAGGATTCCTGAATAGTACTAAGATTGTCTCAGTGTTTGTCCCTCACATAGAATTCAAAGCATTCCGACGAGGGCCTGAATGTGTGTCCCTCACATTGGATTACAGAACACTGCTACTATTGTCTGAATGTTTATCCCACACATTGGATTCCAGAACACTGCTTCGAGGGTCTGAATGTTTGTCCCTCACATAGGATTCCAGAACATTGCTGCTGGGGTCTAAATGTTTGTCTCTCACTTAGGATTCCAGAACACTGCTACAGAGGTCTGAATGTTGGGTCCTCACAGGGGATTCCAGAACACTCCTGCTGTGGTCTGAATGTCAATCACATGGGATTCCAGAACACTGCTACGAGGGTCTGAATGTTTGTCCCTCACATAGGATTCCAAAACACTCCTGCAGTATTCTGAGAGTTTGTTCCTCACATAGAATTCCAGAGCATACCAGATCTGGTCTGAATCCTTATCCCTTACATAATTTTCCAGAACACCGCTGCTTGGTTCTGAGAGTTTGTCTCTCAGATAGGATACCAGAACACTGCTACGAGGGTCTCAATATTTGTCCCTCACATTGCATTCCAGAATACTGCTGCTGGCGTCTAAATGTTTGTCAGTCACATAAGATTTCAGAACACTGTTAGGGGAGTCTGAATGTTTGTTCCTCACAGGAGATTCCAGAACACTCCTGCTGTGGTCTGAATGTTTCTCTCTAACATAGGATTCCAGAACACTGCTATGGGGGTCTGAATGTTTGTCCCTCACGCAGAAATCCAGGACACTGCTGTGAGGATCTGAATGTTTGTCCCTTACATAGGATTCCAAAACACTCCTGCTGTTTTCTGAGTGTATGTTACTCACATAGGAGTCCAGAACAATCCTGCTGTTGTCTGAATGTTTGTCCCTCACATAGGGTTCCTGAATGCTGCTGCTGGTTTCTGAGTGTTTGTCCCTCTTATAGGATTCCAGAACAATTCGACGAAGGTCTGAATGTTTGTCCCTCACATAGGATTCTAGAACACTGCTGCTGGGGTCTACAAGTACATCCATCATATAGGATTCCAGAAAACTGCTGCTGGGTTCTCAGTGTTCCTCCCTCACATACAATTTCAGAACACTGCGATGAGCATCTGAATGTTTGTCCATAACATAGGATTCCAGAACACTCCCGCTGTTGATTGAATGTTTTTCCCTCACAGAAGATTCCAGAACACTTGTGCTGGCTTCTGAATGTTTGTCCCTCACATAGGATTCCAAAACACTGCTACAATTGTCTGAATGTGTGTCCCTCACATACGATTCCAGAACACTGTTACGAGTGTCTGAATATTTGTCCTTAACGTAGGATTACAGAACTCTGTTATAATTGTCGGAAAGTTTGTCCCTCACATAGGATTCCAGAACACTTCTATGAGGGTCTGAATGTTTGTCCCTCACATAAAATGGCAAAACACTGAAGCTGTGTTCCGAGTATTTGTCCCTCACATAGGGACCCAGAAAAATGCTGCTGGGTTCTTAGTGTTTGTCCCTCACATAGGATTCCAGAACACTGCTACTAGTGTCTGAATGTTTGTCCCTCACGTAGCACTCCAGAACACTGCTGCTGGGGTCTCAATGTTTGTCAGTCACATAGGATTCCAGAACACTGCTACGATAGCCTGAATGTTTGTTCTTCATAGGGGATTCCAGAATACTCCTGTTGTGATCTGAATATTTGTCCCTCACACTGGACTCCAGAACACTGCTACGAGGGTCTGAATGATTGTCCCTCAAGCAATATTCCAGAACACTGCTGCTGGGGTCTGAATGATTGTTCCTCACGCAGCATTCCACAGCACTGCTTCTGGGGTCTACATGTATGTCCACTACATAGGATTCCAGAACACTGCAGCTGGGTTCTGAGTGTTTCTCCCTCACAGAGAATTCTAGAACACTGTGACGAGAACCTGAATGTTTGTCTGTAACATAGGATTCCAGAACACTCCCGCTGTTGTTTGAATGTTTGTCCCTCACATAGGATTCCAGAACACTGCTGCTTGGATCAGAAAGTTTGTCCCTTACACAGGATTCCAGAACACTGCTACGATTGTCTGAATATTTCTCCCTCACATAAGATTCCAGAACACTGTTGCTGGGGTTTAAATGTTTGTCTGACACATAGGATTCCAGAACACTGCTACGGGGTTCTGAAAGTTTGTTCCTCACAGGTGATTCCAGAACACTCCTTTTGTGGTCTGAATGTTGGCCCTGAAGCAGAATTCCAGAACAGTGCTGTGTGGGTCTGAATGATTGTCCCTTACATCGATGCCAGAACACTGCTGCAGGGGTCTGAATGTTTGTCCCTCACATAGGATTCCAGAAAACTTCTAAGAGGGTCTGAATGCTTGTCCCTCACACAGAATTCCAGAGCACTGCTATGAGGGTCTGAATGATTGCAAATCACATAGGATTCCAGAACACTGCTGCGGGGGTCTGAACATTTGTCAATCACATAGGATTCCAGAACACTGCTGCTGGGGTCTACATGCATGTCCATCACATAGGTTTCCAGAACACTGCTGCAGGGTCTAAATGTTAGTCCGTCACATAGGATTCCAGAACAATGCTACGAGGGTCTGAATGTTTGTCCGAAACATAGAATTCCATAATTCTCCCGCCGTTGTTTGAATGTTTGTCCCACACATAGTATTCGAAAACACTACATCTGGGGTCCGAATGTTTGTCCCTCACATAGGATTCCAGAACATCCCTGTTGTGGTCTGAATGTTCGTCCTCACACAGAATTGCAGAACACTGATACGAGTGTCTGAGTGATTGTCCCTCACGTCGGATTCCAGAACACTGCTGCTGGGGTCTGAATTTTCTCCCTCACATAGAATTCTGAAGGGGTGGGTTGCCCCTCCACACCTGTGGGTTTTTCTTGTTAGGTGGAATGAGAGACATGGAAAAGAAAAAGACACAGAGACAAAATATAGAGAAAGAAATAAGGGGACCCAGGGAACCAGCGTTCAGCATATGGAGGATCCCGCCAGCCTCTGAGTTCCCTTAGTATTTATTGATCATTTGTGGGTGTTTCTCCGAGAGGGTGATGTGTCAGGGTCACAAGACAATAGTGGGGATAGGGTCAGCAGACAAACACGTGAACAAAGGTCTTTGCATCATAGACAAGGTAAAGAATCAAGTGCTGTGCTTTTAGATATGCATACACATAAACATCTCAATGCTTTACAAAGCAGTATTGCTGCCCGCATGTCCCACCTCCAGCCCTAAGGCGGTTTTTCCCTATCTCAGTAGATGGGACGTACATTCGGGTTTTATACCGAGACATTCCATTGCCCATGGACGGGCAGGAGACAGATGCCTTCCTCTTGTCTCAACTGCAAGAGGCATGCCTTCCTCTTATACTAATCCTCCTCAGCACAGACCATTTACGGGTGTCGGGCTGGGGGACGGTCAGGTCTTTCCCTTCCCATAAGGCCATATTTCAGACTATCCCATGGGGATATACCTTGGACACTACCTGGCTTTCCTAGGCAGAGTTCCCTGCGGCCTTCCGCAGTTTTTGTGTCCCTGGGTACTTGAGATTAGGGAGTAGTGATGACTCTTAAGGAGCATGCTGCCTTCAAGCAACTGTTTAACAAAGCACATCTTGCACAACACTTAATCCATTTAACCCTGAGTTTGACACAGCACATATTTCAGAGAGCACGGGGTTGGGGGTAAGGTCATAGATTAACAGAATCTCAAGGCAGAATAATTTTTCTTAGTACAGAACAAAATGGAGTCTCCTATGTCTACTTCTTTCTACACAGACACAGTAACAATCTGATCTCTCTTGCTTTTCCCCACAGAATTCCAGAGCATTGCAACGAGGGTCTGAATGTTTGCATGAAACATATGATTCCAGGACACTAGTGCTGTTGTTTCAATGTTTGTCCCACACATATGATTCGAAAACACTACTGCTGGGGTCTGAGTTTTTGTCCCTCACATAGGGTTCCAGAACACTGCTACGAGGGTCTGAATGATTGTCCCTCACGTAGGATTCCAGAACACTACCGCTGGGGTAAAAATGTTTTTCTGTCACAAAGGATTCCAGAACACGAGGGTCTGCATGTTCGTTTCTCACGAGGTATTCCAGAACACTCCTGCTGTCGTCTGAATGTTTGTCCCTCACACAGGATTCCAGAATACTACTACGAGTGTCTGAATATTTGTCCCTCAAAGAGAATTCCAGAACACTGCTACGAGGTTCGGAATGATTGTCCATCACATAGGATTCCAGAACACTGCTGCTGGGCTCTTATGTTTGTCCCTCACTTAGGATACCAGAACACTCCTACTATTGTCTGAAAGTTTGTCCTTCACATAGAGTATCAGAACACGGCTACGATGGTCTGAATGTTCGTACCACACTTGGGATTCCAGAACACTCCTGCTGGAGTCTAAATGTTTGTCCCTCACATAGGATTCCAGAACACTGCTACGTGGATCTCAATGTTTGTTCCTCACAGTAGTTTCCACAACACTCTTGCTGTGGTCTGAATATTTGTCAATCACATTGGATTCCAGAACACTGCTACAAGGGTCTGTATGTTTGTCCCTCACATAGGATTCCAAAACACTCCTGCTGTGGTCTGAATATTTGTCAATCACATTGGATTCCAGAACACTGCTACGAGGGTCTGTATGTTTGTCCCTCACATAGGATTCCAAAACACTCCTGCTGTGTTCTGAATGTGTGTCCAACACATAGGATTCCAGAGCAATCCTACTCTGGTCTGAATGTTTGTCTATTACATAGTTTTCCAGAACACTGCTGCTTGGTTCCGAGTGTTTATTCCTCACATAGGATTCCAGAACACTGCTACTAGGTTCTGAATGTTTCTCCCTCACAGAGGATTCCAGAACACTCCTGTGGTGGTCTGAATTTTTGTCCGTCACATTGGATTCCAGAACACCGCTACGAGGGTCTGAATGTTTGTCTCTCACACAGAATTCCAGAACACTGCTACGAGGGTCTGAATGATTGTCCCTCACATAGGATTCCAGAACACTCCTGCTGTGGTCTGAAAGTTTGTCCCTCACATAGCATTCAAGAATACTGCTGCTGGGTTTTGAGTGTTTGTCCCTCACATAGGATTTCAGAACACTTTTACCATTGTCTGAATGTTTGTCCCTCGCATAGGATTCCAGAACACTGCTGCTGGGGTCTAAAAGTTTGTCTGTCACGTAGGATTCCAGAACACTGCTACGACTGTCTAAACGTTTGTTCCTCACAGAGGATTCCAGAACACTACTGCTGTTGTCTGAATGTCCCTCACAAAGGATTTCAGAACACTGCTACGAGGGTCTGAATGTTTTTCCCTCACACAGAATTCCAGAACACTGCTATGAGGGACTGAATGATTCTCCCACACACAGAATTCCAGAACACTGTTACGAATTTCTGAATGATTGTCACTCACATAGGATTGCAGAACACTGCTTCTGGGGTCTGAATCTTTGTCTCTCACATAGGATTCTGGAACACTTCCGCTGGGGTCTACATGTATGTCCATCACATGGGATTCTAGAACACTGCTGCTGGGATCTGAGTGTTTCTCACTCACATATAACTCCAGATCACTGTGAAGAGTGTCGGAATCTTTGTCCATAATATAGGATGTCAGAACAATCCCGCAGTTGTTTGAATGTTTTTCCCTCACATAGGATTGCAGAACACTGTCCCTGGGGTCCGAATGTTTGGCCCACACATAGGTTTCCAGAACACTGCTAGGATTGTCTGAATTTTTGTCCCTCACTTAGGATTCCAGAACAATGTTACGAGTGTCTGAATGATTGTCCCTCACATAGGATTCCAGGACACTGCTGCTGTGATCTAAATGTTTGCCCATCACATAGGATTCCAGAAGACCATTACGAGGGTATGAATGTTTCTTCCTCACAGGGGATTGCAGAACACTCCTGCTGTGGTCTGAATGTTTGTTCCTCACATAGGATTCCTGAACACTTCTATGAGGGTCTGAATGTTTGTCCCTCACGTAGGATACCAGAACACTACTGCTGTGGTCTGAATGTTTGCCCTCACATAGAATTCCAGTACACTGCGACGAGGGTCTGAATGATTTTCCTAAACATAGGATTCCAGAACACTCCCGCTGTTGTTTGAATGATTGTCCCTCACATAGGATTCCAGAACACTGCTGCTGTTGTCTAAATGTTTGTCAGTCACATAGGATTCCAGAACACTGCTACGAGGGTCTGAATGTTTGTTCCTCACCGGGCATTCCACAACAATCCTGCTGTTGTCTGAATGTTTTTTCCTCACACAGGATTCCAGAATAATGACACGAGGGTATGAACGTTTGTCCCTGACCCAGAATCCAGAACACTGCTATGAGGATCTGAATGATTGTCCCTCAAATAGGATTCCAGAACACTGCTGCTGGGATCTGAATGTGTGTCCCTCATATAGGATTCCAGAACACTGCTACGAGGTTCTGAAACTTTGTCAATCACACAGAATTCCAGAACACTGCTATGAGGGTCTGAATGATTGTCCCTTACATAGGATTCCAGAACACAGCTGCTGCGGTCTGAATGTTTCTCCCTCACGTAAGATTCCAGAACACTGCCACGATTCTCTCAATGTTTGTCCCTCACATAGGATTCCAGAACACTGCTATGAGGGTCTGAATATTTGTCCCTCACATAGGATTAAAGAACACTACTGCTGTGGTCTCAATGTTTGTCCCTCACATGGGATTCCTGAACAATGTTAAGAGGGTCTGAAAGATTTTTCCTCACATCGGATTCCAGAACAATCCTGTTGTGGTCTGAATGTTTGTCCCTCACACAGGATTCCAGAACACTGCTGCAGGCGTCTTAATGTTTGTCCCTCACTCATAATTCCAGAACACTGCTAAGAGGGTCTGAATGATTGTCCCTCACATAGGATGCCAAAACACTGCTGCTGGAGTCTGAATGTTTGTCTCTCACATAGGATTCCAGAACACTGCTGCTGGGGTCTACATGTATGACAGTCATGTAGGATTCCAGAACACTTCTACGATTGTCAGACTGGTTGTCCCTCACATGGGATTCCGGAACACTGCTATGAGTTTCTGAATGTTTGTCTCTCACATAGGATTCCAGAACACTGCTACCGTGGCCTGAATGTTTTCCCCTCACATAGGATTCCAGAACACACATTCGAGGGTCTCAATGTTTGTTCCTCACACAGAATCCCAGAACACTGCTATGAGAGTCTGAATGATTTTTCCTCACATAGTTTTCCATAACAATGCTGTCTTGGTCTGAATGTTTGTCCCTCACATAGGATTCCATACCACTGCTGCTGGGGTATACATGTGTGTCTGTCACATAGGATTCCGGAGCACTGCTGCTGGGTTCTGAGTCTTTCTCCCTCACATAGAACTCCAGAGCACTGCGACAAGGTTCTGAAAGTTTGTTTGCAATAAAGGATTCCAGAACACTCCCGCTGTTGTTTCAATGTTTGTAACTCACATAGGATTCCGGAATACTTTTGCTGAGGTCTAAATGTTTGTCCGTCACTTAGGATTCCAGAACACTGCTACAAGGGTCTGAAGGTTTGTCTCTCACACAGAATTCCAGAACACTGCTACGATGGTCTGAATGATTGTCCCTCACATGGGACTCCAGAACACTGCTGCTGGGTTCTGAATGTTTGTCCCTCACATAGGATTCCATGACACGGCTTCAGGGGTCTACAGGTATGTCCGTCACATGGTATTCCAGAACAATGCTGCAGGATTCTGAGTGTTCCTCCCTCACAAAGAATTCCAGAAGACTGCGACGAGGATCTGAATGTTTGTCCATAACTTAGGATTCCAGAAGACTCCCGCTGTTGTTTGAATGTTTGTCCCTCACGTAGGATTCCAGAAGACTCCCGCTGTTGCTTGAATGTTTGTCCCTCACATAGGATTCCAGAACACTGCTGCTTGAGTCTGAAAGTTTTTTCTTCACACAGGATTCCAGAACACTGCTATGATTGTCTGAATGTTTGTCACTCCATAGGATTCCAGAACACTGCAACGAGGGTCTGAAAGTTTGTCTCTCACTGTGGATTCCAAAACACTCTGCTGTGGTCTGAATGTTTGTCCCTCACTTAGGATCCAGAACAGTGATACGAGGGTCTGAATGTTCGTTCCTCTCTTAGGACTCTAGAACACTGCTACGATTGTCTGAAAGTTTGTCCCTCACTTAGGATCCAGAACAGTGATACGAGGGTCTGAATGTTTGTCCCTCACATAGGATTCCAGAACACTCCTGTTGTGGTCTGAATGTCTGTCCCTCTTATAGGGTTGCAGAACACTGTTTCTAGATTGTCAGTGTTTGTCCCTCACATAGGATTCTGGAACACTGCTACAAGGGTCTGAATATTTGTCACACACATAGGATTCCAAAACACTGCTGCTGGGGTCTCAGTGTTTGTCCCTCACACAGGATTCCAGAACACTGCTACTGGGGTCTACATGTATGGCTGTCACATAGGATTCCAGATCACTGCTGCTGGGTTCTGAATGTATCTCCCTCACATAGAATTCCAGAACACTGCGACGAGAGCCTGAATGTTTCTCCATAAAGTAGTATTCCGGAACACTCTCGCTGTAGTTTGAATGTTTGTCCTTCACATAGGATTCCAGAACACTGCCACGAGGTTCTGAATGTTTGTTCCTTACTGGGGATTCCAGAACACTCCTCTTGTGTTGTGAATATTTATCCATCACACAGGATTCCAGAACACTCCTATGAGGGTCTCAACGTTGGTCCCTCTCATATGGTTCCAGAACACTGCTAGTAGGTTCTCAGTGTTTGTCCCAAACCTAGGATTCCAGAATACTGCTGCTGGCGTCTAAATGTTTGTCCATCACATAGGATTCCAGAACACTGCTATGAGGGTTTGAATGATTGTCCCTCACGTAGGATTCCAGAACACTGCTGCTGGGGTCTACAGGTACGTCCATCACATAGGATTCCAGAACACTGATACGAGGTTCTGAATATTTGCTCCTCACAGGGGATTCCAGAAACCTCCTGCTGTGTTCTGAATGTTTGTCCCTCACACAGGATTCCAGAACACAGCTACAAGGGTCAGAATGTTTGTCCCTCACACAGAATTCCAGAACACTGCTATAATGGTCTGAATGATTGTCCCTCACATGGGACTCCAGAACACTGTTGCTGGGTTCTGAATGTTTGTCCCTCACGTAGGATTCCAGAAGATGGCTGCAGGGCTCTACATGTATGTCTGTCACATGGGATTCCAGAACAATGCTGCAGGATTCTGAGTCTTCCTCCCTCACATAGAACTCCAGAAAACTGAGACGAGGGTCTGAATGTTTGTCCGTAACATAGGATTGCAGAAGACTCCCGCTGTTGTTTGAATGTTTGTTTCTCACATAGAATTCCAGAACACTGCTGCTTGAGTCTGAAGGTTTTTCCTTCACACAGGATTCCAGAACACTGTTACGATTGTCTGAATGTTTGTCACTCTGTAGGATTCCAGAACACTGCAAAGAAGGTCTGAAAGTTTGTCCCTCACTGTGGATTCCAGAACACTCTGCTGTGGTCTGAATATTTATCCCTCACTTCGGATCCAGAACAGTGATACGATGGTCTGAATTTTCGTCCCTCACTTAGGATTCCCCAACACTGCTACGATTGTCTGAGTGATTGTCCCTCACATAGGATTCCAGAACACTCCTGCTGTAGTCTGAATGTCTGTACCTCACATAGGGTTGCAGAACACTGCTGCTAGATTCTCAGTGTCTGTCCCTCACATAAGATTCCGGAACACTGCTACAAGGGTCTGAATATTTGTCACACACATAGGATTCCAAAACACTGCTGCTAGGGTCTGAATGTTTGTCCCTCACACAGGATTCCAGAACACTGCTGCTGGGGTCTACATGTATGGCCGTCACATAGGATTCCAGATCACTGCTGCTGGGTTCTGTATGTTTCTCCCTCACATAGAATTCCAGAACACTGCGACGAGGGTCATAATGTTTCTCTGTAACGTAGCATCCCACAACACTCTTGCTGTTGTTTGAATGTTTGTCCCTCACATAGGATTCCAGTGCACTGCTACTGGGGGCGGAGTTTTTGTCCCTCCCATAGGATTCCAGAACACTGCTACGATTATCTGAATGTTTGTCCCTCACATAGGATTCCAGAAAAATCCTACGAGGGTCTGGGTGTTTGTCCCTCACAGAGGATTCCAGAATACTGCTATGATTGTCTGAATGTTTGTCACTCACATAGGATTCCAGATCAGTGCTACGAGGGTCTGAATGTGTTTCCCTAACATAGGATTCCTGAATACTGCAACGAGGGTCTGAATGTTTGTCTGTAACATAGGATTATGGAACACTACCCCTGTTGTTTGACTGTTTGACACTCACATTGGATTCCAGAACACTGCAACTAGGGTCTGAATGTTTGTCCCTCACATAGGATTCCAAAACACTCCTGCCATGCTCTGAGTGTTTATCCCTTACACAGGATTCCAGAACAATCCTGCTGTGGTCTGAAAGTTGTTCCCTCACATAGGGTTCCAGAACACTGCTGCTGGGTTCTGAGTGTTTTTTCCTCACATAGGATTTCATAACACTACCGGAAGGGTCTGAATGTTTGTCCCTCACATAGCATTCCAGAACACTGCTGTTGGGGTCTAAGTGTTTGTCCGTCACATAGGATTCCAGAACACTGCCACGAGGTTCTGAATGTTTGTTCCTTACAGGGGATTCCAGAACAATCCTGTTGTGTTGTCAATGTTTGTCCCTCACACAGGATTCCAGAACACTGCTATGAGGATCTGAATTTTTGTCCCTCACACAGAATTCCAGAACACTGCTATGAGGGTCTGAATGATTTTCCCTCACGTAGCATTCCAGACACCGCTGCTGAGGTCTGAATGTTTGTCCCTCACATAGGATTACAGAACCCTGCCCCTGGGTTCTGAGTGTTTCTCCCTCACATAGAATTACAGAACACTGTGACGAGGGTCTGAATGATTGTACCTCACACAGGATTCCAGAACACTCCTATGAGGGTCTGAATGTTTGTTCCTCACATACGATTCCAGAACACTGCTATGAGGGTCTGAAGGTTTGATTCTCACACAGAATTCCTGCACACTGCTACGAGGGTCTGAATGATTGTCCCTCCCATAGGATTGCAGAACACTGATGCTGGGGTCTGAATGTTTTTCCTTCCCATAGGATTCCAGAACACTACTGCTGGGTCTACATGTATGTCAGTCACATAGGATTCCAGAACACTACTGCTGGGTTCTGAGTGTTTCTCCCTCATATAGATTTGCAGAAGACTGCGACGGGGGTCTAATGTTTGTCCGTAACATAGGATTCCAGAACACTCCAGCTGTTGTTAGAATGTTTTTCTCTCACGTAGGATTGCAGAATACTGCTTCTTGGGTCTGAATGTTTGTCTCTCACACAGAATTCCAGAACACTGCTACGATGGTCTGAATGCTTATTCCTCATATAGGATTCCAGAACACTGCTGTGAGGGTCTGCATGTTTGTCCCTCAGATAGGATTCCTGAACAATCCTGCAGTGGTCTGAATGTTTGTCCCTCACAGGGGATTCCAGAACAAACCAGCCGTGGTCTGAATGTTTGTTACTCACTTAAGTTTCCAGAACACTGCTCCTGGGTTCTGAATGTTTGTCCCACTCAAAGAATTCCAGAACACTGCTACGATTGTTTATCCCTCATATAGGATTCCAGTACACTGCAATGAGGGTCTGGATGATTGTGCCTCACATAAGATTACAGAACACTGCTGCTGGGGTCTAAATTTTTGTTCTTCACATAGAATTGCAGAACACTAATAAGAGAGTATGAACACTTGTTCCTCAAAGGGGATTCCAGATCACTCCTGATGTAGTCTCAATGTTTGTCCCTCACACAGGTTTCCAGAACACTGCTACGAGGGTTTGAACGTTTGTCCCTCAAACAGAATTCCAGAACACTGCTACGAGTTTCTGAATGATTGTCCCTCACATAGGATTCCAGAACACTGCTGCTGGGGTCTACATGTATGTCCATCACACCGGATTCCAGAACACTTCTGCTGGATTCTGAGTGTTTGTCCCTCACATAGAATTCCAGAACACTGCAACGAGAGTCTGAACGTTTGTCCGTAACATAGGATTCCAGAACACTGCTACGACTCTTTGAAAGTTTTTCCCTCACATAGGATTCCCCAACACTGCTACGAGGGTTTGAATGTTTTTCCCTCACATAGGATTCCAGAACACTGCTGCTGGGGTCTGAATGTTTGTCCCTCACATAGGATTCCAGAACACTGCTACGAGGGTCTGAATATTTGTGTCTCACATAACATTGCAAAACACTCCAGCTGTGTTCTGAGTGTTTGTCCCTCACATAGGATTCCATAACAATCCTGCTGTGATCTGAATGTTTGTTCCTCACATAGGGTACCAGAACACTGCTGCTGTGTTCTGAGTGTTTGTCTCTCACTTAGGATTCCAGAACACTGCTAAGAGGTTCTGAATGTTTGTCCCTCACACAGGACTCCAGAACACTGCTTCTGGGGTCTAAATATTTGTCAGTCACATCTGATTCCACTACACTGCTACAAGGTCCTGAATGTTTGTTCCTCATAGCGGATTCCAGAACAGTCCTGCTGTGGCCAGAATGTTTGTCCCTCACACAGAATTCCAGAACACTGCTACAAGGGTCTGAATGATTGTCCCTCACATAGGATTCCAGAACACTTCTTCTGGGGTCTATATGTATGTCCGTCACATAGGATTCCAGAACACTGCTGCTGGGTTATAAGTGTTTCTCCCTCACATGGAATTCCAGAATACTGTGATAAGGGTCTGAATGTTTGTCCATAACATAGGATTCAAGAACACTACCGCTGGTGTCTGGTTGTTTGTCCCACACATAGTATTCCGGGACACTGCTACGATTGTCTGAAGGTTTGTCACTCACATAGGATTCCAGAACACTTCTTTGAGGGTCTGAATCTTTGTCCCTCACATAGGATTCCAGAACACTGCTGCTGGTGTCTGAATGTTTGTCCCACACATAGTATCCCAGAACACTGCTACGATTGTCTGAATGTTTGTCGCTCACGTAGGATTCCAGAACAATACTATGAGGGTCTGAATGTTTGTCCCTCAAATGGAATTAAAGAACACTGCTACAATTGTCTGAATGTTTGTTCTTCACATAGGATTCCAGAACACTGCTTCTGGGGTCTACATGTATGCCCGTCACATAGGATTCCAGAACACTGTTGCCGGGTTCTGAGTGTTTGTCACTCACATAGAATTCCAGAACACTGCGACGAGGGTCTTAATGTTTGTCCCTAACATGGGATTCCAGAACACTCCCACAGCTGTTTGAATGTTTGTCCCTCATATAGGATTCCAGAACACTGCTGCTTGGGTCAGAAAGTTTGTCCCTCACGCAGGACTGCAGAACACCCCTGCTGTGGGCTTAATGTTTGTACCTCACATGGGATTCCAGAACACTGCCACAAGGGTCTGATTGTTTTTCCCTCTCGTAGGATTCCAAAACACTCCTGCTATGTTCTCAGTGTTCCTTCCTCACATAGGATTCCAGAACACTGCTGCTGGGGTCTGAATGTTTGCCCCTCAAGTAGGATTCCACAACACTGCTACGATTGTCTGAATGTTTGTCCCTCACATAGGATCCCAGAACACTGCTGCTGGGGTCTACATGTATGTCCGTAACATACGATTCCAAGACACTGTTGCTGGATTCTGAGTGTTTCTCCCTTACGTAGATTTCCAGAAAACAGGGACGAGGCTCTGAATGTTTGTCTATAACAGAGGATTTCAGAACACTCTCGCTGTTGTTTGAAAGTTTGTCCCTCCCTAAGGGGGACAAACTTTGTGTCTCTATTTCCTTCAGTTCTGCTCTGATTTTAGTTATTTCTTGCCTTCTGCTAGCTTTTGAATGTGTTTGCTCTTGATTCTCTAGTTCTTTTAATTGTGATGTTAGGGTGTCAATTTTGGATCTTTCCTGCATTCTCTTGTGGGCATTCAGTTTTATAAATTTCCCTCTACACACTGCTTTAAATGTGTCTCAGAGATTCTGGTATGTTGTGTCTTTGTTCTCATTGGTTTCAAAGAACATCTTTATTTCTGCCTTCATTTCATTATGTACCCAGTAGTCATTCAGGAGAAGGTTTTTCAATTTCCATGTAGTTGAGCGGTTTTGAGGGAGTTTCTTAATCCTGAGTTCTAGTTTGATTGCACTGTGGTCTGAGAGACAGTTTGCTATAATTTCTGTTCTTTTACATTTGCTGAGGAGAGCTTTACTTCCAACTATGTGGTCAATTTTGGAATAGGTGTGGTGTGGTGCTGAAAAAAATGTATATTCTGTTGATTTGGGGTGGAGAGTTCTGTAGATGTCTATTATGTCCGCTTGGTGCAGAGCTGAGTTCAATTCCTGGGTATCCTTGCTAATTTTCTGTCTCTTTGATCTGTCCAGTGTTGACAGTGGGGTATTAAAGTCTCCCATTATTATTGTGTGGGAGTCTAACTCTCTTTGTAGGTCAGTCAGGACTTGCTTTATGAATCCGGGTGCTCCTGTATTGGATGCATATATGTTTAGGATAGTTAGCTCTTCTTGTTGAATTGATCCCTTTACCATTATGTAATGGCCTTCTTTGTCTCTTTTTATCTTTGTTGGTTTAAAGTCTGTTTTATCAGAGACTAGGATTGCAAACCCTGCCTTTTTTTGTTTTCCATTTTCCTGGTAGATCTTCCTCCATCCCTTTATTATGAGCCCAAACCCTAGAAGGAAACCTAGGCAATACCATTCAGGACATAGGCATGGGCAAGGACTTCATGTCTAAAACACCAAAAGCAATGGCAACAAAAACCAAAATTGACAAATGGGACCTAATTAAACTAAAGAGCTTCTGCACAGCAAAAGAAACTACCATCAGACTGAACAGGCAACCTATAAAATGGGAGAAAATTTTTGCAACCTACTCATCTGACAAAGGGCTAATATCCAGAATCTACAATGAACTCAAACAAATTTACAAGAAAAAAACAAACTACCCCATCAAAAAGTGGACAAAGGATATGAACAGACACTTCTCAAAAGAAGACATTTATGCAGCCAAAAGACACATGAAAGGATGCTCATCATCACTGGCCATCAGAGAAATGCAAATCAAAACCACAATGAGATACCATCTCACACCAGTTAGAATGGCAATCATTAAAAAGTCAGGAAACAACAGGTGCTGGGGAGGATGTGGAGAAATAGGAACACTTTTACACTGTTGGTGGGACTGTAAACTAGTTCAACCATTGTGGAAGTCACTGTGGTGATTCCTCAAGGATCTAGAACTAGAAATACCATTTGACCCAGCCATCCCATTACTGGGCATATACCCAAAGGTTTATAAATCATGCTGCTATAAAGACACATGCACACATATGTTTATTGTGGCACTATTCACAATAGCAAAGACTTGGAACCAACCCAAATGTCCAACAATGATAGACTGGATTAAGAAAATGTGGCACATATACACCACTGAATACTATGCAGCCATAAAAAATGATGAGTTCATGTCCTTTGTAGGGACATGGATGAAACTGGAAACCATCATTCTCAGCAAACTATCGCAAGAACAGAAAACCAAACACCACATGTTCTCACTCATAGGTGGGAATTGAACAATGAGAAAACATGGACACAGGAAGGGGAACATCACACACCAGGGACTGTTGTGGGTTGGGGGAAGGGGGCAGGGATAGCATTAGGAGATATAGCTAATGCTAAATGACGAGTTAATGGGTGCAGCACACCAACATGGCACATGTATACATATGTAACAAACCTTCACGTTGTGCACATGTACCCTAAAACTTAAAGTATAATAATAATAAAATAAAATAAAATAAAAATAAAAAAGAGAGGAAGTAAGCCATCCTGATTCCTGATGAGAAAGCATTCCAGGCAAAGGGGACCACACATGCAAAGGCCCTGAGGCAGAAGCACATCTGTCTGGTGTCTTTGAAGATTGCAATAATACAGGGGAGACTGATTGGACTAGACATCAGAGAAGTGTCAGGGGACAAGATGGTTTAAAACATTCCTAGCCATGGAAGGTTTTAAGCAGATGAAAACATTATTTTCCTTATGCTTTAAAAAGACTTACTCTGGATCACCTGAGGTCAGGAGTTCGAGACCTGCCTGGCCAACATGGCAAAAGCTCATCTCTATTAAAAACACAAAAAATTAGCCAGGCTTGGTGGTGCATGCCTGTAATCCCAGCTACTTGGGAGGCTGAGGCAGGAGAATCACTTGAACCCAGGAGGTAGAGGTTGTAGTCAACCCAGATTGCACCACTGCACTCCAGCCTGGGCGACAGAGGAGACTCTGTCTCAAAAAAAAAATAAAAAATAAAATAAAGACTTACTCTGGTTGCTCAGTGAAGAACAAAGTACAAGGAGAAAGAGAAAGTGGGAAAGGAGTTAGGAGGCTATTTTGGTAATCCATGAAAGCAATGACGTAAAGTGAAGCAGGTTGTACACAATGGGTGTGGCAAGGGAAGCTCAGATTCTTAATACAGTTCAACAGTGTATGCTGATACGAGGTGCAAGAAACAAAGTGGGGTCAAGGCAAGTTTACTGTCCTAACGGCTGGTACGCTGGAGGTGTTATTTACTGAGACGGAGACGACTGAGGAGTGTTGGGCCCAGGGGTTGAAGGTGAAGGATCAAGAATCCCTTTATGGATGTGTGATAGTTGAGTTGTCTGTTAGTCTTCCAAGTGGTGATAATTGGTAGATAATTAGATATGAGTCTAAATTTTAGAGGAGAGGTAGGAGCTGGAAATATGTGTTCATGGACCATGCAC